>NC_000008.11:136318377-136620455 GCF_000001405.40 Homo sapiens
TTGTAAATGGGATTGTTTTCTTAATTTTCTTTTCTGGATGCTTTGTTGTTAATGTATAGAAACACAATTGATTTTTGTATGTGGATTTTGTATTCTGTAACTTTACTGAATTCATTTCTTAATTCTAGTGAGTGGTGTGTGTGTGTCTGTGTGTGTGTGTGTTTGAGACATGGTTTCCCTCTGTCACCCAGGCTGGAGTGCACTGGTGCTATCATGGCTCACCGCAGCCTCCACCTCCCAGGCTCAAGCAATCCTCCCATCCCAGCCTTTTGAGTAACTGTAACTGAGACTACAGGGACATGCCACCATACCCAGCTATTTTTTTGTAGAAAAATAGCTTTTTTGTAGAAAAGCTTTTGTAGAAAAAGACCTTTTTTGTAGAAAAGAGGTCTTACTATGTTGCCTGGGCTGGTCTCAAACTCCTGGCCTAAAGTATCCTCCAATCTTGGCCTCCCAAAATGCTGGGATTGCAGGCATGAGCCACCACTCCCAGCCAAGCAGGGTTTTTTTAAGGAGTCCTTAGAGTTTTTTATATGTAAGATCATGTTGTCTGCAAACAGAGACATTTTTATTTCCTCCTTTATGATTTGGATGCCTTACAATAAGAACAGAGAAAGTAATGCTAGTATTTATATGGAATATCTTATTTTGTCCTTTTGCTTTTAAGCTATGTCTTTATATTTAAAACACATTTTTTTAGACAGCTTCTAGTTTGGTTTTACTCTTTTATCCTGTCTGACATAATCTTTCTTTTAAATTTTTGTGTTTAGATATTTAGACCATGTACATCTTATGTAATTATAGAGAAGTTTAGGTTTAAATCTCTTATCTTAATTTTTTTCTTTATTTGGCCAATTTTGCCTTGATTCTCCTTTTTATAATTTCCATAATTCTTTTGGAATGATTTCTTTCTTATTTGTTTTATTATTTTATATTACTGATTTTTCATGTTTAATAGCTTTGCATCTTTTTATTTTACATTTCAATTGTTGTCTCAAATTTATAGTATGCTTTCTTAACTCTTCACAGTCTACCTTCAAAAAATAAAATTCTATTTTACATGTAGGGTTAGACTATACAAAAGTATAATTTCATTTGTTTTTCTCATCTTTTACAATATTATCATTTTCATTTCTACATATATGATAACCTGTCAATGCAACATTAGTACTGCTTTAGTCAATTAAAAAGTTAGAAATGAGTAAAACATGTCTTTTATTAACATACATGTTTGCTACTTATGATATCTGTGTGCGTATAGATAATAATTCCATTTGGTGTCATTTCTCTTTTGCCTTAGGAATCTATTTTAATTTTTTTTGTAGTGCAAGCGAGTCCCCAATAAATGCTCTAAGCTTTTATCTGAAAATTATTTTGGCATAGTTTTTATAGTGGTTAAGTTTGCTGTTATTCCTATTATTATTTTTACTATATTTATCCCTACTTCATTTATTATTTTTTTAACATCTCCCTGGTCCACCAAATTGCGTTGTTTTTTGAGTGAGAAGACAGCACTAATTATGATTTGTTCCTTTGCGCCTAATGTATTTTAATGTCTGTGTCTGCCTTTTAATTTCTTTTTATCTCTTGTTTTCAGCAGCAATTTGATTATGGTGTTCTTTGGTGTATTTTTCAGTGTTTATTTTGTTCAGGCAACATTGAGATGATTGGATCTGGGGGTTTATAGTTTTTATGAAATTTGGAATGTTTTTGGTCATTGTTTATTCATGGCTTTTTACCTCACTTCTTTATTCTCTCCATTTTGGGATTCCAAATACTGCTCAATGAGTTCCCTGACATCAGTGAAGATCCATTTGTTTTTTCCAGACACTTTTCCTCTTTGTTCTTCAGTTTGGGTAATTTCTATTCCTGTGTCTTCAAGTTCCATGATTTTCTGATATTATGTAATCTACTATTAGCATCATCTGTAGAATGTTTTATGTCTGATTTTTTTAACTGAGAAGTTGTTTTTCATATCCTCCACTTCTCTCCTCATTGTGTTAATATTTTTTTAATCCTCGCCAAACATTTTATAGTTCTTCTGTAGACCTTGTCTGCTAATTCTATTATCTCTATCATTGTTGAATGTGTATTTATTAAATAGGTTGTCTTTGTATGAATCACGTTGCTGATGCTTTTATGTCTAGCTATTTTACATTGTGAATTTTTAAATCTGAATGTCAGTGTTTTGTTGCCTTCACATAAAGAGTATTGAGTCCAGTTTTGGAGTTCAGTTAAGTTAGCCACAGAATGTTTTTTAAGTCTTTTGGCTTTTTTGAAGCTTTTTTTTTTTTCGCCTAGCAGAACCTTACTCCAGGCCTACTTTATTCTTCTTTGAGGTGTGCCCCTCTGGAGCTCTGCCTATAGCTCTGTGGGGTGCCTTTTGCTAAGGTTTGAGGAAGTCTTACTCTACAACTGGACAGCTTAATGCCTCGCCAAAGACTCAGGTGATATTCATGTCTATTTCTGGAGCTCTTTATCTATACAGCTTCTTCTAAAATGCTATTATGTGCCAGGAATACTAGCATCCTTCTCCCCACACTCTGATCTGTGACTCTTCTCGGTGAGACCCCTGTGCTCTGCATTCCAAACATTTCTTCCTGGAAGGAAGGTGAAGCAACTACGGGGTTTGTGTTGTTTAATTCTCTTCTCTAGGGATCATGGTCCCACACTTTTGTCTAGTCTTCAAAAACTTTCTTTTTCCATGTCTGACCACATCTCCCCTCACACTATTGTATCTAGTGTTCTTGAAATGCATGCCAAAAGAAAAGTTTTTGACCTGTTTTTCTTACATGGCTAGATGTGGAAGTCCCTGAGATTTAACTGTAACCATGGAATTCACCCCATGTTAATATTAGAAATTTAATATTAGAAAATGTTTACATTTTTTGGATTATAGAATTTTTATCTTCAAAATGTGTTCAATAAAATTACTTCACAGACTTATTATAAGGAGTGTTGGACAATAGAGCTACTGATTCTCTATTATTATATTTTAGCCTTCTTCTATATTTTTAACTTTTATGTATTTCATGTAGTGCTCTAAAATACCCACTGAGGGCTATATTATTATTTCTCCTTTCACAAGTTAGTCACACAGCCTCAGAGAAGTTAAGTAAGTTTTCAAAAGTCCACAGCTGGTTAGAAGTGCAATTGAAGTTCAAACCCAGATCATTTAGACATAAGATCTGGCTATTTCAACCATGTCACATTGCTTCTAATCTATGTGAAATGTTCTTGCCTGTAGCTTGGCAAGGGCTTTGAACCCAATAAATATGCATTTCTTCATTCCCTTTTCTAATATGTTAAGGAGGACTATATGTGTACTTTTTAATTCTCTTCCATGAAAAAAAATGGCATTAAATGGCCCCATGAGAGGGTAAAGGCAAAAAATAAAAACAAAAACAAAAAAAAAAATGAAAAAAATTCAAAGTTTTCTTTTTGAGTTAACAAAGATTGCCATCCTGAAGGGTGAAAACTGTGAAATCATAAGATTCTGAGAAAAGTATTTCAAAACAAATGCTCTCCCTTACAGTGGAACAAAGAGGCTCTTCCATCAGAGAATGCAGCAAACCTCTATGTCCCAGTAAAGCTTGAAAGGCAGATTGTAACATGTTAGAATGTGAAGCCTATCAGAGAATTTAGATCACTAAGCCTGATCCTTAGTCTCCATTCTTCTTGCAGAGAAAAGAAGTTCAAGAAATCTAAATGATCTGTGCATGGTCAGACCAAGTACTATGGTCACAGGTAAAAGAATATACAAGCGCACCTTGTATACACAAATAGGAGGACAAATTTCATTCTTAGAAAACACTTCCTTTCTACCCTGGCTTCTAAAAGACAGGCTGCCATCCCACATCCAGAAAAATAATAGCCTCCTAAAATGTGAATAGCCAAACGTTAGCTGACTTTCTTTTTAATATTTATTTTTTTGGAATGCATATTTCTCACTTGCTTTTTAAATAAACGTCATAAGTGAGCTACAGATTAGTCAACTATTGTAATAATTGTCCAGCTATTACAATGACACTGCATTCTAAGCTACCCCAATGCTCAATGGCTTAAAGCATCTCTCTATGATCACTTGGGCATACACAGCTCGGTGGATTCAGATCCTTTGGGTTTGGCTGTGTGGCTCTGCTTCTCACTGCAGTTCTGAGGTTGGCTGCAGCAGCTCTGGTCTAGGTAAATCTCATCCTTCACCTGTGACTAGTGGTCTATCCCAGGAACTTTCTTATCATGGGGATGGCAGATGGCAAGAGAAAAAGCAGGAACATATAAGGTTTCCTAAGGCCTAGCCTCACATTTGGTGTAGCTATCTCCACCTCGTTAGGTTAGCCAAAGCCAGCATGGCTTAAACCAGAGTCAAGTATGAAGAAAATGAACTGTGCCCATTAGTAAGAGTGATTGAAACATCTCATGTCCCAGGCCACAGGTAGAGAGAAGGGCGATTAATTGGGGCCAATAATACAATCAATCATAAATTAAAATGCCCTTTGAAAACTTCCTGTCTTTTCTGGGTTTTGTATATACTCATCTAGACCATTAATTACATCTGTTTTTTTTTTTTTTTAGAAAATATATAAAGTATGGGCCAGGCACGGTGGCTCATGTCTGTAATTCCAGCACTTTAAGAGGCTGAGGCAGGTGGATCTCCAGAGGTCAGGAGTTCAAGACCAGCCTGGTCAACATGGTGAAACCCCATCTCTACTAAAAATACAAAAAGTTAGCTGAGCGTGGTGGCGGGCACCTGTAATCCCAGCTACTAGGGAGGCTTAGGCAGGGGAATTGCTTGAACCTGGGAGGCGGCAGTTGTGGTGAGCCAAGATCACGCCATTGCACTCCAGCCTGGGCAAAAAGAGCAAAACAAAAAAAAAGGCCAGGTGCGGTGGCTCAAGACTGTAATCCCAGCAGTTTGGGAGGCCGAGGTGGGCAGATCACGAGGTCAGGAAATGGAGACCATCATGGCTAAGAGGGTGAAACCCCATCTCTACTAAAAATACAAAAAATTAGCTGGGCGTGGTGGCAGGCGCTTGTAGTCCCAGCTACTCGGGAGGCTGAGGCAGGAGAATTGCTTGAACCCAGGAGGTAGAGGTTGCAGCGAGCCGAGATCACACCACTGCACTCCAGTCTTGCAACAGAGAGAGACTCTGTCTCAAAAAAATAAAATATATAATATATGTATCTATATATAGTATTTAGTGTATGAATGTGTGTGTTTGGATATATATTTCACGTTGTAATTATGCTCCATTTGTATTTGTCACCCAATAATATTCCTTGGATGACTTTCTATATCCATGCATATAGCTGCAAATCATTATTTTTAACTGTTGAATGATATTAAAAGAATAAATATGTGTTTACTTAACCATTCCTCTAGTGTTAGGCCTTTAGATGAGTTTGTAATGCTCAGCATTATAAACAGTGCTTTAATGAGCATTCTTGTACACATCTCCTTGTTTTCCTGTAGAATAATAGCCTGCAGAAATGAATAGTTCAGAGCTTGTCATCTGTGAATTTCATATTGTAGTATATTTTGCAAAAGTACCTCTAGTGTAGCTATATAAATCTACATCTCCTCAGGCAGTGAATGAATACCTATTTGCCTACACTGTCATTAACACTTATTATCGTGCAGTTTATGCATATTTTTAATTAGATGAGTAAAAAATCTGACTTTCTCAGACAGTGATCGCAGAACATTTTTATTTAAACAACAGAATAATCATTCTTCACAAAATGCTTTATATAAAACAAATTAATGTAGTTCTGTGATATCAACATGGTGCTTTGAAAAGTTCCTTGTGCACTTAGCTGCACTCTTGTCTTCTACTGATGTCCCAGAGTACACTTTACATTCTCTTGCTTCAGGTTGAAACTTACTTAGTTTGCTATGATTTCCCTGGAAGAGTGCCCTCCCTTCAGTCCCTGCCTCCATCATATCCAGAATGGTTGAGCCAATTGTTACTGTCTCAAATGAATACTTTTCCCAGTACCAAAACCACATCATGCTCACATTCACAGTCACAGCATGGTCAGTTCACTGGTCTCTCTCTTTAACAGCAAGTAGGAAAACCCAGGCTCAAAGAAAAAAAGCTTATTTCTTATCTTTAATATAACAGGTACCAAAATTAAAGACACCCTAGATTCCAGGATCGATGATGAATTATGTGAGGATAGGAGATATGAATTTGATGGAAGAGCAGATTTTAGTGGAGAGAGCACTTGACTCACTTCAGGGAAAAATTTACCCTATCCTCTGTCTCTCCACACACACACGCTCATGCACACATGCACAAACACATGCACACGCAGACACACACCACACACACACATGCAAATGTACACGCATAGACATGCATCCAATATACATGCAAGCACACAAAAACACACACACACCTGAAGATGCTGTCACCAATGAGCCCAGTAACATTGGGAAAATCATCTAAACATGCTTACTTTGTTTATATGAAGAATGAAAAGCGCTGCAAAAAATGTGGAATATTTGTGAACAGATAAATGATGTGTGCCCGTGAATGGTTTGTATGGGGTACCAGCTTGCACATGCACACATAGTGTGGAAAACCATTCAAATGTAATTGTTTTCACCAATATTGGATAAATCAGCCCTTAGTGATTTCCAAAGGAGGATGCTTAGTGCTGGATTTAATATCTATGTGCCATAATTTTTACTAATATTGGAATCATTCAGACTAAAGTCCACAGGTGGGAGTCAGCCTAGGCAAAACTTAAGATGTTCCTGAGGGAATGAGGAATTGGATCACATTAGTCATTGAATCATGTAGCAGGGGCTGAGAGAAATGTGAATCCACTGACTACCTAAAGAGTCTTCCAGTCTGTCATTAATATGCCATCTCAGCTGCCGAGGGCAATAATGATCTATATTAAACAAGCATATTCCTTTTGGAAACAAAACTCAAATATGATTCTGGATAGGGTGAGACCAATATGATTCCTCCTTATCCACCATTTACCCCGAGCTCTGCTAGCACACCCCTTTTCATTTCAATTGACCTCAAATCGGAAATGATGAAGGAACGTCAGGGGGCTTTGAGATCTTGTCTATTTTCCCTCGTGGGAATGGGTTGGGGTGGGAGATGGCTCTTTAGATAAAACTGGGAAGCTGGGCTCCACAGGTCTGACCACTGCTATGGTGAAAGGTCATCTGAGACCCATGGAATTGTAGAGGCACAAAATATCTAATCGTCCTTGGTAGAAACATGCCACAATGCGTTCGGAATTGTCAAAATTCAGGAGGGTAGGGGAAACAGATAAGCATTTCTGAAATCTGGGGAAAAACATGTGTTTGCAACCTAAGAAAGATAACAAACCGCACCATTCATGGGTGAGGGTGATATCCTGACTAAGTGTTGAACACAGTGATTGGCATTGCTTTCACGAGTCAGCAGCATAGAGATTTATAAGTGAATCAGTCTATTTTGAAAAAGCAAATAAATAAACAAAATATAGAAGTTAAATTAGAATCTTTATAATCTGGCCCTAATCTTATTATTCATTTTCAGCTTTATTGCTGTGTGCATTTATCCTTCCCCAGCCCCTCCGTGTATCTTAAGACCCATGCTCTCCAGTCTCACTAAAATAATTGCACCTTCTCCTAATAAGGCATCTACTTCTGTGTTTTTGTTCCTTTGCATGCTCTTTCCCCTCTTCATGGAATATCTTGTCCTCTTTTTCTGTTTTTAAAACTCCTATTCATCGTCCAAGCTTTGGCTAAATATAACCTTCACTGTGAAGCTGTCCCTGCCTTTTTCAGGAAAAGCTGTTTCCGTTTGCTTCTGTGTTCCTGCTACAAGTCAGGTAGCCTGGTGTAGTGATGTCAGAAAATCCAAGTTTTTTTTTTTTTTTTTTTTTTTTATAGACTCTCACCTAGAAAACGGAAACAGACTCTTAAACTTGCTTATGATCTCTCAATTTCCATCCCCGTCCCTACTTAAAGACAGACTCCTGCCAGAAGGATGTTTCTAAAATACATCCTTGATCAGGCTGCATTTCCATAAGCATGATCTCAATATTTTTTGTGAAAATAACACCCACAGAGTTTTATGGTACATCCAAGGCTTTTGATGAAGTTAGAGTTTAGAGAAGTTGAGCAATTTGACCAAGGTAAGAGAGCTAATAAATGGCAGAGAGAAGATTTGAGCTCAGACTTGTTTGAGTCTAAAGGTGGTGACCCACCCTGCTCCTTCCAACCACATGGCGGGACCTACTTTCTTGCTGCTTCCCCCTGAACTGGCAATGCATGGGGTAATTTTGGAGAAAAAAGTTATATAAGCAACGTAACATATTTCAGATGCACAATATGTCTTTGCAGCCTGAGATTATTTTAAACCAACTATGGGAATGTGTATTAGTGAACACATATTTGAGCTGACAGATGGGCGTGGGCACCTTTGTCACTCATAAATAGAGCACTTTGACCAGTTGTGGAGGAAACTCAAGTGCTGGAACGTACAACTCATACTTATTTCCGGCCTATACAACCTTTTCTGAGCCCCTAAGAGTTTCTCTCTCTCTCTCTCTCACACACACACACACACACACACCCCACACACGTGCCATTAGCAAGTTTGCTTATTTGTGTAAGAAGGATTAATATAAAATAATTGTTAAAATTCAGGCACAAAGCGACTTCCCAGAGCTAACGTGGTGCTTTGGTTTTTTTATTGCATTCCTTTTCACTTAACCTGAAGCTGAAAGTTCACATCTGTGTGGCGGGTCTTTCTTCAGGGTATTTCTGTCTAGATGTTTTGCAAAGTATCTAACACCTGGAAATGCGATGCACATTTCTGTTTGCTCCTATGGTACTTCGTGCTTACGTCTTCAGTAGCACGAACTATAACATAATTCAACCTGTTTCTCCCTTCCTGTATCTAGAATGTAAACTTCTCCAGATAAGACATTGTTTCAATTGTCACCTGTGTTCCTAGTCCATATCGCAGCATCTGGCACTTAAGCACATTTAAAACAAGTGAACAAAGGAAATTCCTGGTATGGAGTGATTGTTGGATTCTTTGCCTGTGGTTGGATACAGGCTCCCTCCAAAGACCTGAAAAGGCCACATGCAGATGAGTTAGAACTCCCTGGTAGAAGTAGAGTTGAGGCCAAAGGCAAGCGGTTCCATAATAATATAAGGAAGGCATTTCTAGCTGAAAATATTTCAAAAGGAAGCAAACTGTTGCCTAAGGAAATGGACACCCCATTCCTGCAGATTTTAAGCAGGAATTGAATGGCCCGATATCTTGTCTAGGGGGCTTAAAGCAGAATTAAGCATCCAAAGCAGTTCATTCAGATAATTTTAAAGTTCTAGCTATCTTTGTACATTGAAAATTATATATATAATTGATATATGTAGTACTTGTTCCTAGGTTATAAGCCCTGTTTTTCCTATTCCTCCACATTCTCCGTTTTATCATGTCTTAGGATCTGCAACCAGGCTTCATGGACTAGCTGTCCTTTGTTTCGTAACTACAATCATAAGCTTCAGGACTCAAATTATATGTCATTTCTTTTAAATTCAAGTCCTGCTGTTTTATGAAATTGAAACATCCTCATTTCATTTTTTTACTTGTATAGTTCTAATCACAAATTTAATCAAGCAATTACTTTTTCTTATTTAAAATATATCTGTTCCCACTTAACATATGTGCTGTGTCAGGACTACCCTGTTCTCAGGTCTCACTGCAGTTTGTCTTGTGTAGAGTTAAGTATTCAGTAAGTAGTTACTGAGCGAATGACTGGGTGAATAAATTGATGTTTAAAAACACTTCTCTTTCTATTACTAGATGTGATTTTCATTCAGATTTTTTTCCGTTTGTCTTCAGAGGAATTGCAAATTCTTTATAGCAAAGAACATCCAAGAAGCTTCTTGAAAGTGCCAAATAATGAGTGTTCTTCGATAGCATTCAGGGATCTTGATGGCTTCTTTGGGCAGACAAGGACTTTGGGACACAATAATTCCCTGAGGCTCACTCTCTAGGGAAAGGAAAAGGAGGTCTGGGAAGCAGGACATTAACAAAGGAGGGGGAACCAGTGGGCCCGCAACACAGGGTCCCTCACAAAGACTGGGAGGGGCTCCATCTCCTTCCAGGGTTTGTCCTATTGAGCATTTAGTAGGTCCAGATTTGGCCCCCAGCCAGACGCAGCTCTGTGAAGTCTGAAGGGAAGAAAGAATACCCCTTTTTAAAATTCCTTTTGTGTTTTCCTTTCGTTCCACATTTTCTGCACGTATCAGTCTTCATTTTGGCAGGAGAGAAAAAATAACTTTCTTATTGGCCTTTTTTTCTGACTCATGATTTTATTGGAATCAAAAATATAAGCTGATTCAAAGATTACACAGCCAAGCAAATTGACCTCCTGGATTCTAAGACAGTGCAACTGAAAACGTTGAGAAGTCCTTGAGGCCCAGCTGAGACCATGCCTTAAAATGTCAAAGAAAGTCAAGTCATGTTGACTTGAAAGAAAGTTATGTTGGGTTTCAGTGCCACAAGAATCCAGTGTTGAGCTCCCTGTCTACACAGGGTGATGCAGAGGAGGTTAGGGTCAGCACAGTGTAAACCAGGGTGCAGCAGACTTTTTCTGAAAGGGTTAGATAGATAACATTAAATAGTTTGGGCTTTAGTGGGGCTTAACTATTAAATAGTTTAGGCTTTCGTGTCACCATTATTCCTCTCTACTACTGTAGGGCAAACACAGCCACAGACTTTACCTAAACAAGTGAGAGTGGCTATGTTCCCATAGGAAATTATGCACAAAGATGGGATTTGGCTCATGGCCAAAGCTTGCTCATTTCTGATTTGGAGGAAAGAATGGTAATGCATAGTATGATCTCGCAGAACCCTGAATTTTCTGTGCTGCAATTATCTTATTTATTTAATATAAAACTGAAATAATTCTCAATTACTTATACAAAACATACACTTAGGCATTTATAGTAAATGATTTAATCTTCAGTGTACCCTTGAGGGATTGATATGATTTTTGTTGTATGGATGTGGAAACTTGTAGAAGGTAAGAAACTTACTACCCAATCATGTAGCAGGTGGGTGGCAGAGCTGGAACCCAAATTAGATTTCTAAATTAATATGATGCCAAAATATATGAGTACCTCTGCTGCTATAATCAAACAAGAAACTTTATTTTCAGCACGTCTTGTAAATTTCCTTGGAATTCTTTATGTCTTCTTTTATTTATACTTTCCACATATTTTATTTTTCTTTTTGTGAAGTAGTTTATATTCATATATAGTCACTTATGTGTTTTTATATACATATATATTCACTTATATGCATATATGTGTGTGTTTAGATGCATATATATGAAGTTTGTATAGTGTTAAGCACGGTATATGCATGTGTTAGTGTATGCCATACGCACATTATTACTAGAAAGTAGAGTCAGAAACAGGATGTGTACTGATCTAGCCTAGGAGACAAGAGACATGCATGACATGGGACCCCAAGAACTAATTCATTCCTCCAGACAGATGCAGAAAAAACAGGGTGAGAATACCAATACTAATATGTGCAAAACCAAATCTGCAATATGTGCAAAACCAAATATGTGCAAAACCAAATTTGCTGGGGATGAGGAGGAGGATGCTATGAATCTGAGAGACTATATTTGTAAGGATGCTAAGTCAACCAAGCTCAACTAATTGCACTTGGCTTTGGGGGCAGTACCACCATGGAGATGAGATATACAAGAAGGAAGGAGACCTATGAAAGAGAAGAAAATCAAAGCCAATAAAAGTTGAGTGACAAATTCTGGTAGTATATAGGTCTATCTATCTATCTATCTGTATATGTATATTAAATTAGGATTAGATCACCCATGTGGACAAATGGGCAAGAGTTTGGATTTAAAAGAAGATACTATGAAATTTTCATATATACTTAATCCTAAAATGTATAGCATGAATTGAAAACTCTAGTAGAATATGAAGTAGTATAATATAATGAACCTGGTAATATAGTATAATCATCATTACTATAATAAGCAATGTAGTATAATTTACTATACGTGTGACTTAAGTTCTCCAAGCCTCAGATTCCTCTTTTATTGCAGAGGGATAATGACAGTTTTCTAATAATGGTTATTCATGGTTCAAGAAATATTGGCTGCTGTCAATTATTATTATCCAAAAGATCTGTGCATGTAGGCAACCAGAAAGTCCACTGGAAAATCTGGCAGTATGGCTGGCAAAGGTCTTATCACAGTAGGGGATTGCCTGTTCCCTAAAGAAGGATGGAGACACTAGAGGTCCATTTAAAACTCTCCCTATTCATCCTATTCATGGGACAGGAGCCTCTTTAAATGCATAATCACCCTGTTTAGGTTCAGAGTTAAAGATGAAGCAAACTGTCATGACTGACTGGTCAATTGGAATCGGATAGGAAATGGGGCTAGGCCTGATTGAGATCATTGATGCGTACGAGAAATGTTAGACTGCTCTTGTGTGGGTAAAAGGCATGAGGTAAGAAATGTGCATTTATTACATCATTAAGAGCATGGCACTGTGCTCCATGTTTTCACTGAAACTGTCTCATCTAGGAGGCAACCCTGAGGATAGTGAAGCAAATTGACTTGACTCAATCCCACAGAAGCTAGTGTTGGGCTGGATGTGGTGGCTCATGCCTGTAATCCCAGCACTTTGGAAGGCCAAGGTGGGTAGATTACTTGAGTCGAGGAGTTCAAGACTAGCCTGGGCAACGTGGCAAAACCCCGTCTCTACTAAAAATACAAAAAGTTAGCCGGGTGTGATGGCAAGTATGTGTAGTCCCAGCCAGCAGGAGGCTGAGGTGGGAGAATCACCTGAGATTGGGGGATTCAAGGCTGTAGTGAGAAAAAAAAAAAATTGCCATTGCACTTCAGCCTGGACAATCAGAGTGAGACCCTGTCTCAAAAAAACAAAACAAACAAACAAACAAGTCAGTGTTGATATTCAATTATGTGCCTGACAATAAAACTCACACCTTTCCTCCAAATCATCCAATCTATTATATTTTACATTTTTGTGATTATATACATATAAGCATATATTTTCATATTTATATACTTATAGACAGATATTATACATTGAAAGTTCACAGTATGTGTCCATACATATATAAATATACATACTTAGTTCTCCTATAATTTTTGTTTCTAGGATATAAGTTCCACAGAGGCTGTTTTCTTCACTGCTGAATCCCCAGCAGTGAGAAGAGGGCCTGACTCACAAAGTATCCACCACAAGCATTTGCTAGGCATATGCACAAATATGCAGGTCACTGCATCGGAACTTCTTTGAAGAGGGCAGGAATTAATTGCACACTTTATCTTATTTAGTTTACAGATCTCTGTTTTATAAGAAGTTCTTGGTTTAAAGAAGGGGAAAGTGAGGCTGCAAGAAGCTAAGTGATTTTCCTAAGTATATATTTCCAATAAACAGAGCTGTCAGGATTCAATATCTGGCTACCAACATTTTAGCTTTCTTTATCTCATTGCCTTCTGGCATACAGGGGCTCAGCAGCTACAGCGGTCTTGTTTCTGCATCTAGGAGGGCATCCAGCACCTCAATGCCCACTTCTTGAGCAGGAGAAGTTGAGGGAGAAAAAGAAAATGCATTTTCCAGTGTTTGTAGTGACACTTTATGCACCTGGATTTTATGTACTGCTACATCTTGTGGTTCATTTCCTCTTGGATGTTACCAGAGATGTTTCTATTGACAGAAAGATTCTGGCACAAATACTGAGCACTAATGGCTTCAGGTCATCTGCACCTGCAGGACAGTGTCTATTGAGGACAATAGTGAATTTACACAACAGACTGGGATGGCCTCCTTCTCAGGAAGGCCATAGCAGCCTCAGATACTGGCCCCAGGGAACGGATATTCCCAAAGCTATTCATCTATTCAGAAAATATTCAGAAGAATTTTTCTGTCTTATGTGTGTCAGGAATAATATGGCGTGTAAATATGGGCACAAGCATGCTGGGATCTCAGCAATGAGAACCAGGTGAAGAGCTGGCATTTATTTGAAGAATTCAGGGAACTATTAACACAGCCTCTCTGTAGGAGAAACTCTTTGTGTTCATCAATGCATCATGGGCCCTGGGTTTGTTTATCTATCCATGCAGCATTGATGGAGAAACTGTGGTACCAAAAGGCAGGAGGAACTGATGGTTAAGAGTGTAGTCTCTGGAGCACACTGCCTAGAACCTTGTTTATCTCTACCTCACCTTAGTAATAGCACCTTGGGCATTTTCCTTAACCTCTCTGAGCTGTATTTTCCTCCTCTGTAAAATGATGATAAAAAAGAATATTTATGTGCCTTGAATGAGTTAATGTATACTGCTTTTAAGCATTCAATGAAGATTAGTAACTACTGTTAACCAATCTGAAGCCAGTCACTGATGAGGGTACTGAAGAAAAAAAAATCAAGTGTGTGAATATTGACAGTAAAATGTAGTAAGGTAGCAGAAAACAACAGCCCCATTCATCCAAAAACCTTTCAATTTATCACTGGATTGCAGAGAGTGTCTGGGCACATAAAAAAAAAATGATTCTGGTCCTCCCATTTGCTCTCCCCTTCCCCATCATTTATTACTATATGACCTTGGAGTCCTATAGCATATATGTTTTGATATATTTTTCCCATTTAAAATTAGGAGGTATATAGTTTCATGTCATTGACCTTTTCTTTCTTGTGGATTCAAGATCAACAGATGCACAGAAATTAGTTATAAGCCTTGATATATTACTCCCTCTTCATTGGTCCATTCAAGGCCGTCTTTACTCCATTCTTTATTAATAATAAACACTATTAGACTTAATACCCTATGTAAAAACTTAAATCCCTTTCTGTGATCCTCTTTCATCGTCTTTTCCTCTTTTCCTGACCCAGAATAACTGCTATTCTGAATTGTGTGTTCATCATGCCCTTGCTTTGAATTTTAAATTATTTCATCACATCCATATGTACTGTATTCAAAAAAGTATATTTGAGTATTTGGTTGTCTTTCTAACATTATTTTTGAAAGATCTCATACTGTATGCAATGTTTTAGGTACTCCCATCTTATTAAAATTATGTTTTTATGGTAGGTAGCCAGGCAGACATGAGTGGGGCAGGAGAGGGCCCCCTCACCTCCTACCAGGAATGTCAGGAAGCCATCAGGTGGTTGTTAAATTGCCTCCCTAAAATAGTAATTGGTCACAGCCAGCGCAAGGGAAAAACAGTCTCCCAATAGATAAAAACATCTTAAGTTAGTGTTCAGCAGCTTCCCAGTAAGATCTTAGGGGTTAGGTGACTGCGTATTCAAGCATCCAAACTAAGAGACAAAATGGCAGAATTGAACTGGTATATGACCTTCTTCTAGAAACACTCAACTGGTAAGGGAAAAATGCCTCAAGTGAGCATGTGCACAATTTTGGTAAATACACTGTGCGTGTGGCCCCTCCGAAGTGCTGGTAGGCCACTGTGCATGTGGTCATCCCACCCCAAGGGAAGAATTATGGGAGAAGGGATGCAAGACCCAGGAAGTATGACAACATATAAAACCCCAAGTCAAAGGTCAAACAGTGCACTTGCTCTCTCAAGTCACCTGCTTGGCCCTCTTCCAAGTGTACTTTAGTTCCTTTTGTTCCTGCTCTAAACCTTTTTAACAAACTCTCATTCCTATTCTAAAACTTGCCTTGGTCTCTCATTCTGCCTTATGCCCCTTGGTAGAATTCTTTCTTCTGAGGAGGCAAGAGTTGAGGTTGCTACAGACCTGTACGGTTTCACTGCCAGTAACTATGCGCTAAGTTTTATCCATGCTGTTGAATGGAGCTGCAATTCATTCAATAGTTACGGCACTATACTCAATGTACATTAAGTCATTTACTCATTTTTATGTCAGAGGGAATTTGAGTTATTTCCCAATGTTTACATTGCTTTCTTTTGCATTTTTGAAGTACTCTATTGATGCACAAACTTTCTTACCGCTGGAATTTTTACCTCTAAACTTTTGCCACTTGAATGGATGAGGAATGGTGTCTCATGATCTTTATTCATCTTTCCCTGAATAATACTCAGAGAAAGACAATGTTATATGTTTACATGTATCTGCTGGCCAGTAACCACGTGTTGAGTAATTTCCTTAATATTACAAAGATGCAGGGCTGGTATTAAAACCTAAATCAGTCAGATTTTAAAACCATGCCCTTTCTTCCAGTATGCTGCAATGATGACAACATTGGAAACAGACATTATTAGTATTGATGTAGCTGTGGACTCTGAGAGTTTTTTAAACTCTTGTAAATTTTTAAATGTCACATTTGAAGCTCATTTTATTGACAGGAGATCTGTGCCATCACAATGAGATATCTATAAACAATACTTCAAATTAGATTCTTTGGAAAGGGAGAAGAGATCTTTGAGTAAGTTTATGGAATGAAAAAGAAACTGACCAAACTTTCTTTGTCATATTTATAGAATTTCAGATTTGGAAGAAACCTAGAAATGTAGAAGTGCAGCCTCTTTCAGCTCTCTGCCTGCTATATTATTTTATAGTCAACAAACAAACAAAAACTGGGAACTACAATGTAAAGTGGCTTCCTCAATGTCATGATTTGCTGATAAAGGAGCTGTAACCAAAACTCAGTATGCAAATGTATCAGTTATCTATTGCTGCCTGAGAAACCACTGAAAATATTCAGTGCCTTTAACCCACCTTCATTTAATTTACTTATAATTTGGTAGGTTAGCAGTTTAGGCTGGCTTCAGCAGGATAGTTTTCCTGTTAGTTTCACCTGGAGTAACTTGTGGTCACAATCAGCTGGTGGCTGGGTTGGTCTAGGAGCCCTACGCTAGGATGACTTATCTCTGTTTCATCTGTTTTATGTGTTCTCATTTTTTTCTTTCTTTCTGTTTTCTTTTATTTTTTATTTTTTTATTTTTATTTTTATTTTTTGATATAGGGTCTTGCTGTGTTGCCTAGGCTGGAGTGCAGTGGCATGAAGGTGACTCACTGCAGCCACAACTTCCTGGGCTCAAGTGATCCTCCCACCTCAGGCTTCTGAGCAGCTGGGGCCACAAGCACATGCTACCACGCCCAGCTAATTTTTGGATTTTTTTCTTTTGCAGAGATGGGTTTAGCTATATTGCCCAGGCTGGCCTCGAACTCCTAAGCTCCAGAAATCCTCCCACCTCAGCCTCCCAAAGTACTGGGGTTACAGGCATGAGCCACTGTGCTTGACCTTACGTGTTCTCATTCTTTACAAAACTACCTTGGTCTTCTCTTGGTGGCTAAGCGGTTCCTGTGGTAGAGAAGACAATCCCCAGTGCACAAGCACATTTCAATTAACACTTATTAAAATGCTATTAGCTGAGACACATCACATGATTATACACAGGTTTAATGGATAAAGAGGTAGACTTTAACTGTGATGAAAGAAAAAGCAAAGTCAATTTTTCTTCAAAAGTAAACTTATCTTTTAATGAACTTTATTTCTTAGAGCAATTTCCATTTCATGGGAAAATCAAATAGAAAGTAGGGTTTCCATACACTCACTCTCCCCCAGGCCTTGCTCATGGCTTCCTCTATAGTGATATATTGCATTAGTGTGGTATGTGTGTGGTTACAATTGATGAACCAATATTGATATCTCATTATCAAATACAGTGCATATCTTTCATTAGAGTTAACTTTATTTGTTGTCTAGTTCTTTGGGTTTGGTCAAATGCATAATGTCATGTATTCACTATTATAGTATTACAAAAAAATAGTCTTACTGTCCTAAAAATCCTCCGTGCTCTGCCTATACATTCTTTTCTCTTCATTAATCACTGGAAACCACTGATATTTTCACTTTCTCCATAGTTTTACAGATCTTTTCTTTTCCAGATGTCACATAGCTGGAATCATATAGTATGCAATTATTTTAGACTGACTTCTTTCATTTAGCAATAAAATTTTAAGCTTCCTCTGTGTCTTTTCATGAGTAGAGAACTCACTGTTTTTACTGTGGAATGATATTCCATTCAGTAGATGCATTATGGCTTGTTTCTCCATTCACCTTTTGAAGGACTTCTTGGTTGTTTCCAATTTTTGACAAAGATGAATAAAGCTGCTATAAATGTTCCTATGCGGGATTTTGTGTGAGCATTACCTTTTTCAACTTATTGGGTAAATACTTAGGAGCACAGTTGCAGGATTTTATAATAAGACTATGTTTATCTTGTAAGAAACTGACAACCTGTATTCCAAAGTGGCTATACCATTTATACTCATACCAGGCATAAATGAGATCCCTGTTGCTCCACATCCCCATTCGTATTTGGTGTTGCCAGTATTTTGCATTTTAAACATTCCAGCAGGTATGTAATGGCACCTCATTGTTTTAATTTGCAATTCCCTGAAGACAAATGATGTTGAGGATCTTTTCACATGTTTAGTTGCCCTCTGTAAACTTCAGCCTATTAATTATAATTATATTGAATTCCCATTCTAATAATTCCCAGATCTTTGTCATATTTGAATCTGATTCTGACATTTGGTTTTTTTTTTTACTTGATACTGTAGTTTTGCTTGTAGCATATCCTGTTTTTTTTTTTTTTTTAAGTCAGACATGATGTATTGGGTAAAATGAATTGAGGTAGTCAAGCCTTTAGAGCAAAGTTCTATGTTTATCCAGCTTGGAGTTAGACTGTGCCTAGTGTTTGGTAGAGCGGTGTTGTCAGAAGCTAAAATTACCTCTGTGTCCTTGTTTTTTTCTCCTTTGTTGTCTTTGGATTTTCCTAGAGATTCCTTACATGAAGTCTGCGACTTGCAGTTCTGTTATCTGCAATCCTCTGCTATACAGGAGCCAAACTGATGTGGTGGCAAGGTGTATGTGAGGGAAGGGAGGCATTCTGTCATCATCAGATGAGGTCTCAGTCTTTTAGTGAGTCTGAGTTGGATATTTTCCTTCCCCCTGTCAAAGGCTGAAGGGTGCTGGAGCTGGATATTTCTGTTTATTCAAGTTGAATGCTAGAATGGGCTGGAGTTGGGTATTTTCATTCTCCCAGTTTGGATAGGCTTTGGAAAAATCACAGACAGGCTTTAATAAAGTAGTTTTCTTCTTGAAAGCAGGTCTTGTTATGGAAAATAGCAAGCTCTGGACATATTTCAAAATGGTTATTTTCTTCTCCCAGTGCTGGAAGCATAATAAAATTTTTCTCTAATTTTAGTAATGAGTACCTGGTTAGATTCCTGGAGGTCAAACGTAAAAGTATGGGGTCCATCTGCATTGTGCCCCTTTAGGGTTTTTATTTCATAAGTTGGTAAACATTCTGCCTCCAGCAATGACCCTAACAACAGTGGCTCCAGCTGTGGACTCTTGCTCCTGACAAGCTGTGATGCTCCGCATCCAACTGTCCCTCCAGTTTTGGAGACAGCAGTTTGCCCACTGACATCAATCCTTAAAGAATATAAGAATAGTTGTTGATTGTCAGTTTGTGCAGTTTTTTTCTGTGAAGACGGGGGTGACAACTTCCAAGCTCTGCATGTCATATCAGGAACTGAATGTCTCACAAACTCACATTTTGAAAGCATGTGCATAAAAGAGTGGGAGGCATTTGTAGCCATTTTTTTTTTGCAATTTGCCACAAAAATACATGTTTCAGCGCTTTCAGTGACATTAATATATCTCTTCTCATTGTAAAAATGGCTGCGTGAATTTATATAAGTAACAATTACCTAACATTTTTAATTTCTTACTTATGCGCCAGGAAGTGGTATATATTATTGTATTAATCTTCCCTCAAGCATCTAATGTTAGGAATTGAGATCCTTATTTCAAAGCAAAATAAATTAAAGTTTAAATAGATGTGTGGTCCCTATAGTACTGTCTGCTTTCATATATACTCCTGGTCCTTTTGTTGTTTTAATTGGTAACATCAGGCCATATTTCCCAAAAAGCTATGTCAGCTATCTCCCAGGAAGTTTGGCCAATGGAGGCACTAGAAATCTGTCAAAAGTCAGGAGGAAAGAAAAGGAAAGACACTTCTCCTTCTCCTTTTGTGCCCTGAGCACAAGGTATATTGTATGTTTTGTATACTTAGCTGCTGCATTATGAGATAGCCTCAGTGTCTATGGTGAGGGTTCATCTCTCAGCAGACATATCCACCTTGATTTCGACTTTCAGGTTAGTGCATAGACTCTAATAACAATAGCTCCTTCCTTTGCCCCACCAGGAGATAATAGAGGCACCTTTTCTTGCTAATACTTTAGTTGCCTCATTTTACATTGCTCAACCTCTCAGCCTCTTTCATCACCTATGAATCTAATTCCGTTTGTATAGTCCATCTATTTTATTTATGGCTAATATCTTATTTCCTTTGGTTGAACTCTTATTAAGCAGCAGCTTTCCAAATTTCCATACCTTGTTAGAACTATAGACGAAATATAGACCCAGATCAAATTCTTAATCCTGCCAATCTCTGTTGCCTCTTATGTGAAATATTTAAATTTCATATAGAATGAAACTTCTAAAAAATGATTGATGTTCCCAGAAAGATTAGAGCAGATATTGCCTCTAAAAAAATGAGAACAATGTCATTTGAAATAGAAATAAATATCAATGCAATACAAGTGTATGAAGCCAAATGCAAAGGAAAGCCCCCAAGAAGTAAAACGAAAAGTCAAAGACATGGATACTTGGAGATAAAACATTTATAGTTTAGCTGGAAAGAAGATTTTAGAAACAATGTAATAGACTTACATCTTCTTGTAATGGTGGAGTGATTTGGGTAATTTGCCTTGCTCACAAATAACATTTATAAAACATGGACAAAATGTTAACAACAACAAAGTGACTAAAAGTAGGAAGCAACTGGAGAAAGGTATCATTTGTACCAAAGATATTTGATAGTTTGTGTCTTCCTTTTTTTTTGCATAAGATTATTACTCAATCAGAACATGCTGTTTGGGTGGTAAAAAGTCATAGTCTTACTAGCTTGAGGTGTACAGACAACAGTTAGGAGCCAGGAGAATAGATGAAAGCTGAAGTGAGAAAACTCTGGAACAGAAGGAAACACATAGAAGATGTGCACAAATAACGTATACATAAACCCTAACCTCTATGCATGAGAGTTCTTCAGAGATCCACAAGATCCAGTGAACAAACAGAAGCTAAAATCTGAAATAATTGAACAGATTTCAGCTGGTGTTCATTGATAGAGAGAGAGAGTGAGAGAAAGGGAGAGTGCACTGTATTTGTAGGATCCACCCAAGTGAACTGCCTGCTGAATGGTGGGCACGAGTTTGGAAAATATTTCGGGGGAATATAGTAGAATCTAGGGGATTAATAACATATTATTCACAGTGTTGTACAAAAAACTAAAAGTTGCTAAACAGAGAGAGAAAATGTAAAATATGAGCCATGCCTAAGGAAAGAAAAAAATTGACAGACATTGAGATGACCTAGCACACGCACTAACCTTAAGGCAGCTGCTGTAAATATTTTCAAGTATTAAACAAAAATATACTTTAACAAATAGATGAAAGATTAACCACTGTATGAATTGTAGACACTAGAAGTTAAACCAAATAGAAATTCTAGAGCTGAAAAGTACAATAAATAAGATAAAAAGCACACTAGCTAGGCTTGTTGATGGGATACAATAGAATGTAAAACTCTTTATTTACAGGTGACTTAAAGGTAACCAATAGAAATTAACACAGTTACAAGAACAAAGAAAAATGGATGAGAAAAAAATGAGCAAAGCCTGAGAGGCTTACCTAACAATATCAATCAGTTCAACATAGTAGTAATCTTATCATCAAAAGTAGTTGGGGGGGAGGAGTTGGAAAACAAAAGAAAGAATGGCCAAGACATTCCAAATTTAGAAAAAAACATTTGTCTTTCGGATCCAAGAAGCACAGCAAATGCCACTGATGATAAATACAAACAGAACTACAGCTAGCCACATCATATTCAAACTGCAGAAAGGTAATGTTAAGCAGAAACTGTGAAGGCTCACATTACAAAAAGGGGAACATAGATACAAGTAACAACTGATTTCTCACTAGAAGCAATGGAAGACAGAAGAAAATTGAATGGAATCTGTCAAGTGCTGAAAAAGACTGTTTACATCAACTACTGTATCTAGCAAAATATTTTTTTAACAGTGATGAAATAAAGGCATTTTTAGGTAAAGCATAATTGAGAAAATGGGTTGCCCATAACCTTCACTAAAATAAATGCTTACGGGAAGTTCAAGCTGAAGGAAATGACACAGATACTAACTCAGATTTGCAGGAATTAATGACAAGAAACAGACATGGTAAATGTGGAAAAATGTACAAGTTTATATCTATATGTTATTTACTCTCTTATTTTTGTTAATGGAATGTTATAACACTGATTATAAAGTATATAATGTACTTAGGTATGCTATATATGATAATAACATAAATGGCACAAAAGTGTTGAGGTGCAACTGCACTGTTTCAGGTTTCCAGATTCTACATGATATAATCCAATATTCACTCAAAAGAAATTCTAATTAAATTTAAAAGAAAAACCTCTAAAATTAATGCAAAGGGTTATACTTAAAGGACAAAAAGTCCTTAAAATGTAATACTGAAAATATTTTAATTTAGCAAAGATCATAGAAAAGATTTAGAGAAATATAAAATGGACAAGAAAAATAGAAAATAAATAGTAAAACAGTAGACATAAATTCATATAGACATATATGAATATTCCAATGGAAAATAAGTTTGTTAGACTTAATAAAACCAAAATAGCCAACAATATATCTATTGAGATGCACTTTAAAAATCATAAGTAGACTGAGAGTAAATTATCAGTGAGCAAAAAAAAGCAGAGTGGCAATATTAATATCAGAAAGCCTAGATTTCAGGAAAAGACATATTACTACATATGAAGGACAGTTTGTAATAATAAAAGCTGCAGTACATGAGGAAGATATAAAAATTTAAATGTGTATCTTCCTGAAATCCAAATCATCTCAGTAAATGCGGCAAAAGCATATTACAAATTTAGCATTCATTCAAGATGAAAATCTCTCAGTATACAAGGAATGAAAGGAAATTTCTTAACCTAATAAAGGTCATCTGGAAAGATATCGCTAGCATCATATTTATTGGTGAAATAGTAGATTATTTCCACCAAGACTGAAAAATATTCAAGAACTCGTACTTCACCACTTCAATTCATCTTTGTACTAGAAGTCCTATACAATACTGAGAAAAATAAGTAAAAGGCATATAGATTTTAAAGGAAAAAGTAGAACTATTTTTTCACAGATGACATGCTCATGGATAGAGAAAATAAGGAGGACTATATCTTGGAGTAAATTAGTAAAGTTAGCATGATTGCAAAGTATAAGCTCAATATACAGTAATCAATGATGTATTTAGGTACTGAGAGTCGAAATTTGAAATTGAAATTATTTAAGTCCATTTATGGTAACATGATAAAATATAAAATATTTAGAGATTAATTTAACAAATGTGCAATACATCTGCATGAGAATTATAAAATATTGCTGAGAGAAATATAATAACATACTTCAATAAATATATTTAATGCAAACAGTCATAATCTCAGCAGGAATTTTTATAGAAGTTGGCAACTTAATTCTAAATTTATATGTAAATTCAAAGAACCTTAAATAGCCAAGGTATAATATATAATGTTTGTACATATTTTTGGAGTACATATTTTTATACAATGTGTAATAATTGAATTAGGGTAATTGGAATATCCGTCACCTCAAACATTTATTTTTTTCTTTGTGTTGGGAACATTACAATTCTCCTCTACTAGCTATTTTGAAATATACAATAAATTATCATTAACTATAATTTTCCTACTGTACTATCAAATACTAGAACTCATTTCTTCTATCTAACTGTAGTTCTGTATCCATTAACCAGCTTCTCTTCATCCTCCCCACCCACCAACTTCCTTTTCCAGCCTCTGGTGACCACCATTCTACTCTCTTTCTCCATGAGATCCACTTTTTCAGCTCCCACATATGAGTGAGAAATTATGATTTCTGTACTTGGTTCATTTCACTTAACATAATAACCTCCAGTTCCATCCATTTTGCTGCAAGTGACAGGATTTTATTTTTACATGCCTAAGTAATATTCTGTTGTATATATATACCATATTATCTTTATCCATTAATCCATTGCTTGACATTTGTGTTGATTTCATATCTTGGCTATCCTGAGTAGTAGTGCTGCAGTAGACATTGGAGTGCAGACGTCTCTTTGATATACTGACTTCCTTTTTTGTGAATATACACCAAGAAGTGGAACTACCATATCATATCTTAGTTTGACTTTTAGTTTTTTGATGAACCTTCCTACTATTGAGATGCACTTTAAAAAATCATATGCAGACTGAGAGTAGATTATCAGTGAGCAAAAAAAAAAGCAGAGTGGCAATATTAATATCAGAAAGCCTAGTGAGTTCATTTGAAACAAGTTCAATGAAACAAGGAGTTCTTTCAACTAAAAATAAATAACCTAACCTTGGAGAAATGTGTAAACTCTTTGTGAGTACAGTCTTTTTCTCTCAGTTCAAAACTTGTTCTCTCAGTTCAAAACAGTTCAAAAAATGTTTTAAAATACATAAGAATAGGGTTATAATGTTATTGCAAGGAAGCTGAAGCAACTGTAAGGAAATTGAAGACAAGCAATCCAACACAAGAATGGTCAAAAAGCTTCACAGAGGAATAAGTTACCAATGTATACATAAAAAGCTGCTAAATATCATTACTTGTGAGGAAAATGTGAATTAAAACTACAAGTTACTGATATAATCTCACTCAAATGCTAGAATTAAAAACAACAGGCCAGTGAGGTGGCTCATGCCTGCAATTGCCGCACTTTGAGAGGATGAGGCAGGAGGATCACTTGGGCCCAGGAATTTGAGACCAGCCTGGGCAATACAGTGAGACGCCATAGCTACAAAAAATAAAATAAAGTAAAAGTTAGCCAGTCATGCTGGTGTGTAAATATTTCCAGCTACTAGAGAGTCTGAGGTGGGAGGATTACTTGAGCCTGGAAAGTTGAGGCTGCAAGGGGCTGTGATGGCACTACTGCACTCCAGCCTGGGCAACAGAGCAAGACCCTGTATAAAAACAAACAAAAAAAAAAAACAAAACATAAAAACCTTAACAGCACCAAAAGTTGGAGAGGATGTGTAGGAACTACACCACTTTTATATTACTGGTGGGGATACCAAATGATCTAATTATTTTAGGGAAAGTTTGAAGTTTCTTGTGTTGTTACGCAGTCACATAATAATTTCAGTCCAACTTACCTAGGAGATATTTAAACATATATCCATAGAATGACTTCAACAAGAACATTCACAACAGCTTTATTCGTAAAACCAAACAAGAAATACTAATACCCATTAACAAAAGAAAGGATGTAGAGTTTGTATTGTTGTCATGTAAAGAAATAATATATCTGTTAATAAAAAGTAACAAACTAGTAAATTCCCAACAATAAGGATTAAACTTACAGGCAAACCAAACACAAAAGACTACATTATGTATGATTCCATTAATGTGAAGACTAAACAGTTAAGACTTATACATTTTACTGTATTGAAAGTTTACTTCAAAAACCCTATATGTGCACAATAGTGTAGAATTACATTTCAATAACCAATACAAACACCATACTAAGAAAATATCATCAACATTACCTGATTCCAATTATAACACTTGAATATGATAAGAAAAACAAAGACTTTA
This sequence comes from Homo sapiens, assembly GCF_000001405.40. Taxonomy (NCBI): domain Eukaryota; kingdom Metazoa; phylum Chordata; class Mammalia; order Primates; family Hominidae; genus Homo; species Homo sapiens. The sequence continues at coordinate 136,344,170 of NC_000008.11, forward strand.
AAAATTTGTCAATTATTAATCCCTAAAAGGTGCCAAACCCAAACTGATTTATAAGCAATTTCTATCCATTGTTAAAAATATTTTGTTATCCTATATTACATAGACTTTGCTAGAACAGAGAAAATGATTAAAAAGTTCCCATACACATTTTACAAGGCCTGTAAAACTTCAATGCCAAAACTGAAATGAAATAGAAGAAATATAAGCTAAAGTCACATATATTGAAATTCATAAATTTCAATAAAAAATCAGAGGCCTTCATGATCTGAGTCTAAATGAGGAAATGCTATTAATTTGCAATGCTTTTAAAACAAAATGGACTTCATGTCTAAAATACCAAAAGCAATGGCAACAAAAGACAAAATTGACAAATGGGATCTAATTAAACTAAAGAGCTTCTGCACAGCAAAAGAAACTACCATCAGAGTGAACAGACAACCTACAAAATGGGAGAAAATTTTTGCAACTTACTCATCTGACAAAGGGCTAATATCCAGAATCTGCAATGAACTCAAACAAATTTACAAGAAAAAAAAAACAACCCCATCAAAAAGTGGGCGAAGGACATGAACAGACACTTCTCAAAAGAAGACATCTATGCAGCCAAAAAACACATGAAAAAATGCTCATCATCACTGGCCATCAGAGAAATGCAAATCAAAACCACAATGAGATACCATCTCACACCAGTTAGAATGGCAATCATTAAAAAGCCAGGAAACAACAGGTGCTGGAGAGGATGTGGAGAAATAGGAACACTTTTACACTGTTGGTGGGACTGTAAACTACTTCAACCATAGTGGAAGTCAGTGTGGCGGTTCCTCAGGGATCTAGAACTAGAAATACCATTTGACCCAGCCATCCCATTACTGGGTATATACCGAAAGGACTATAAATCATGCTGCTATGAAGACACATGCACACGTATGTTTATTGCTGCACTATTCACAATAGCAAAGACTTGGAACCAACCCAAATGTCCAACAATGATAGATTGGATTAAGAAAATGTGGCACATATACACCACGGAATACTATGCAGCCATAAAAAATGATGAGTTCATGTCCTTTGTAGGGACATGGATGAAATTGGAAATCATCATTCTCAGTAAACTATCACAAGGACAAAAAACAAAACACCGCATGTTCTCACTCATAGATGGGAATTGAACAATGAGAACACATGGACACAGGAAGGGGAACATCACACTCTGGGGACTTTTGTGGGGTGGGGGGAGGGGGGAGGGATAGCATTAGGAGATATACCTAATGCTAAATGATGAGTTAATGGGTGCAGCACACCAGCATGGCACATGTATACATATGTAACTAACCTGCACATTGTGCACATGTACCCTAAAACTTAAAGTATAATAATTAAAAAAAAAAAAAAAAGGAAACAGAAATCTCCCTCCATTAGTTGACTCACTTATAAGACCCTCTGTGTGTTCCTCTGTATGGTTACAGAATTTGGGTAATACATGGAAATTTTAATAAACACCCTAAAATGCTAAAAAAAAACAAAAACAACAACAAAAAAAACAAAAAAAATGGCCAACATTTTAGAGAAGATTATAAAGAAAGGTTTATTTAGGTTTAAATTTGACAAAATGCAATTAAATTTATGAACATAATTTGATGTCATATTTAACAAAATTCAGGTTATGATTGCGCTGTTGCCATTGTTAGGCATATTAGACATTAGAACTCCAAGATATTCATTATTGCTGTTATTATTGTTGTTTTCCTAAAGCCACGACATGCCAGAATTCCACTACTTTCTCTTTAGTCAACATTTGCATGCTGCAAATTATCACGCGGGCAGGGCACTTTTACAAAACAGTTTTGAGAATTTCATCACTTTCTTCAAAAACCTTTTAATCTTTTCACATTTAAATACACATCTTACCTTAGTTATTTCTTGTCTTTGATTTTTTTATCTGGTTGAAATATGAAAATGTTTTTTAATTTTTTTGTGATATCCCTGAACATCCTGTCTAAATTCACTCCTCTTCCTACCTTCACGCTCTGTTCTCCTACTCTGCTTTGTATTTGGTCTTGTAGTTTCTTGTCATATTTGTCACTAACTGGCACTTTGTTTTTCTTTTATAATTTGTTTATCTGTGTCTTCTAATAGAATGTAATATCTATAACATGTAGAGATTTTATTCATTTGGTTTCACTGTTATATCCCCAACAAATAAAATCATTCCTGACACACAGTAGTTGATTCACTAATATTTATTGAATGAATTAATTACTTTCACGTTCAACCGTTAATTTTACTAACTCCTAAATTTCTACATCTTCTGTGATATATATGATCTTACTGTGCAGTCTGTTTATATTATATTTGTAAAATAACCAGAGTTTCTGACAATCAGAGATAGACTTAAGGTTTATAGCATGAGCTGTGATAGACACCCAATGTTAAACAGAGAGGGACATTTGAGTGGAGATCAATATAATTTACCAGATAAATAAAATTATTTTTTGGTCATTTCTAGGAAACTTACAATGCCAACTCACATTATGAATACTTAGATACTGGGGGTCCCTGCATTAATAATACAATCTAGCAATATATCAAAAATATTAAGCCCAAACTAAAATATTTTAATTTTAAAAATTCAAAGATAATTCAATATTATAAATGTGTCAATGCATTTTATCTCTTTAAATATTATAGAAGAAAAACAAAATAAGCTTATCTAACTGGACATTCAAAAAAGTATGCCCAAATAAATGAATAAATCTTAGTTCAAGGATGATAAAAATCAATATTGTAAAGACCTACTTCCTCCCCCAAGGTGTTCTATACATTCAATAGAATGGCAACGCTATTCAATTCAAGGCCATGCTATTCAAATCCCTACAGGAGTTTTTGTAGAGTTTGACAAAGTATTTCTAAAATTTGAGGAAGAGAAAATTAGTATTGAAAGGAAGATGATATTGATATAAATTACAAACTGGCCATTAGAACAGAAGAGAGTCCATGTGCATTTGGAAATTCAGTTAATGATAAAGTTGACATTTCAGAGGGAGACAACGGCTATACAGCCCTGAGTTGTGCAGTCCATATTGAGGTCCTTGTGAATAGTGCCCCTTTGTGAGGTGGGCCATACATTACCTGCAAGGTCACGCAGGGAAGCTGGCTTTTACGTCCTTAGAAAAAGAGTAAGCCAACCAATGAATAATTTGTGAACATTAAGCCATATCTTTGGAGAACAAATGAAATTGATTGAAACTTTAAACGTTTGCACAAATAAATAAAAGGTGGATCAAAGCACTCAGTCTTAAATAAGGACTTCAAAAAATGTTTAAAAATACATAAGAATATGGTTATAATGTTACTGTAAGGAAGCTGTCTTCAAAAAGACACCAAAAATCAAAATCAATAAAGAAAAGATTTGAAAAATTCAAGCGACTCGCCCTTACCTTCATTTATGGAGAAAATGATCTTGTAAACACATATTAAAAGATACACAAAATGCTGAGAAAAATATGTGCTGGGATATATTAAATTGTAGAAAATATGTGCAGAACATCTTCAAATATGTTTGAAAAACATACAACTTAAAAAATCCCACAGTTTAAACATGCTTTAAAGAAGGGAAAATACGACTTGTAAAGCAAAGAAAAAAAAAAAGATACTTAACAAAACTACTAATCAAGAACATTTAAATTATGAATTAATGTCTAAACATAAAATAGATTGGTATATTTTTTTAAATTAATGATGTCAGTCTGGACAAGTTGATAAAACATCTATATATCTATACTTTCGTATAAAATAATAGTGGATTTGAAATTTGATAAAGCATCATTTTATATTTGTACTAAAAGCACAAGATTTAAATTAGCTATCATGAGTCCATATTAAAAACAAAAACAAAACTGTAGAATGTGAATTATAGCTCTGTGTGCTACCCAGAAAAAAATTCAAGTCTTAATGTACTTCAAAGCAAATATTATACGATTAAAATGAAATACATTGATCCATGATTATTTTATATATATTCATTCTTTGGTTTGGTAGGTGAAGGTATACAAGATATGCAAGAGAGGCACTTATATCTATACCATTTAAAGTGCTTTATATCAAAATGTATTCTCAAGCCACTTATGTAATTTAAAATACAGACAGTCCTCTGCTTAATAGTGGTTCTGCTTATGACTTTTTTGTATTTTCAGATGGTGCAAAAGTGATATGCATTCATTAGAAACGGTACTTTGAGTACGCATACAGCCATTCTGTTTTTCACTTTCAGTAAAGTATTCAATAAATTATTTAAAATATTCAACACTTTATTATAAAATAGGCTTTCTGTTAGATGATTTTTCCCCAACTATAGGCTAATATAAGTGTTCTGAACATGTTTATGGTACACTAGGCTAAGCTATGATGTTTGGTAGGTTAGATGTGTTACATGGATTTTCGAATTAGGATATTTTCAATTTTCAATGGTTTAATGGGACATAACCCCATCATAAGTCCAGGAGCATCCACATATGAAACTGTAAAATTAAATTATGTAATTACTGTGTGAAATACCTTTTAAATCAATTTAATTTAATTTATTTAACTTTAGAGTTTTATTTTACTTTTTGTTTTCTCCAATAAATTACTTTTTAAATCAATTTAATTCTTCATTAATATTTTTTTCTGCCTTTCAATAGGCAAAGTCTGTGCAGGCAGGCCACCAGCACTGCCTTGGAGCTGGTGTTTCTATTTAATCTGGAATGAAGAGGCCTGGGCTAGTCTCTTCCTGCCAGTGTCGTAACAATGGTGCTCCCACCCTCATGGCTTTGCACAGCGCACTGTGCCATCTGGTACTAAGAAGAAGGCTTGTGAATTAAGTATCTATTATAAGAACAGTACTTTGAATCATTTTGAAAAATTGCTTTTGTAAGTTTGATTCGAGCTCTTCTAAACTGTGCTTATTTTGTGTTTAAAAGAAATTGCATATTTGCCATTTTGCGCTTTCTCACGTTACCTTCAAGTACCTATGAAACTCATTTTAGAATCTGCCTTTTACATGCCATGTGGTTCCTGACATGAAATAAAATATTAATGCCTTATATCTTACACTGTAAATAATTGATATTGTTGTCCCATGCACTCTAAGTGTGATAAGCCTTCAACTATGGCTGTTCTTTAATTCAAGCCATGTCTCTTCTCCTTGCATTTGAGAATATTTCAACATGAAAATAAAAGAGGAAATGTGATAAAAGCTATGTGTTTATTTGAATATTCATATTCTGCTGCAGATGTATGTGTACCTGGCTGCTGAGTTGCTTGAAACTTAACCATAGTTAGTGTCCCCTGTCTAAAATTGCCACAATTTAATATCGATTTTTTGTTTCTGAAGCCTCTTGTCCTCAGTAGCAAAACTTCAGACAAAATGTACCTATTTTCCAGAATGAGGATCCTGGCTGAACCAATTCTTTTCTCTCAGGTTAAATATACAATCTCTCAACAGTGCCTTATTTTGCTTGGTTTCATACATTTAATGTCTGGCCTACAGTATGAGAAGTAGAAGAAGAGGAAAGAGGCTAGACCAACAAAGACCAGAGAGGGAAGAGAGAGACCACGAAACATTTTTGCAACAAAATTCCAAATAAATTTTAGCTGTCAAGCAAACTTAACTGTGAAAAATTTAGCCATTTTTTAAAGAATTTCAAAAGATCAAATGAAAAGCTTACACTATTACATTGCTTGCTCCACAGCCATCTACTCACTGCATACATCCTCATGTCTCTACCCAGCACTGCACGTTCAGACACAGGTACCAGCTCCCACTGACAAAATTACATTGCACACTGACATACCACACATACTCTCAGCACAGACACATTTCTCTTCACTCATCATCAATGCATATGTATATATCTGCAGACTCACTGAACCTCATTTCATATTCCCGCAAACACCCTCACATACACACACACACACACACCCCATACCGCCTATTGTTCTGAACCAACTGTGACTCCAGTGGTCCTGCCGAATTTTATCAGGTAAAGACCAAAGGAAAGACTGCAGTATGAACTTGACAAAGGATGACAGAATGAAGAGAATAAGTAGAAGCTTTTCTTGCTTTCAGTTTTTCTCATCTCCTGATCATTCCCCAGTCTATGCTATCTAGATGTAATGGCAGTGCAGAGAGTGTTTCCATCAGGTTTAATTGTGTGGCCATGTATGTTTTCTCAACCCTTGTGAGAAAAGGAGGCATTCTTAGCTCTGAGCTGTTGCTGTTCACATTCCTGAGTCTGTAATGTCAGAGGCCAATTAAGAAGCTATGGGATCTGGAAGCCAAGTTTGCACTCTTAATCACAGCACTGCACTGTTTTTCAAGCAAAACTACTTCTATCACACACTTCTTTCTCAAAGCTTACCTTGACTCACAATTTAGTTTCCTGGGACTCATTAACATGTATTGTTTTGTGGCAGTCCTAAAATTCACCACTGTTTTCTCCTCCATTTAGCAGAGGAATCTTCAGCTTTGGATTGAATTACCAGGTAAAATATAACACACATCTAAATCTGAATTCTAAATAAATAATTAATATTTATGTAGTATAAGTGTAGCTCCCAAAATAAGTGGAACAAGCTTATTCTAAACATAGTTATTTATTTTAAATTCAAATTTAATTGAGCAGAGTGCATTTTTATTTGCTAAGTCTCACAACCTTAACTCTGAATAAGAAATGAGATAATTTAACAACAAAATAATAATTAAAATTAACATTAATTCAAAAATGCAAAAAGGAGTCAAAGAGAAAAAATATTAATCTACAATTAGGATTAAAATGGGAAACATATCGAGCTCCCAGATCTTGGTTTCTAATACCATTCTCCAACCAAAGGAACCAGAACTCCTTGGAGAAATGACTTACTCTATGACCGGAGCATAAACAAAAAAAGATAAGCCTGTAGCATCTTGCAGTACTCGAGTAAAAAGTGCTGAAACAAAAAACAAATAGAAAACAAAACCCACAATGAAGAGAAATTTCAAAGGAACACAAAAACCAATTAAAGAGCTCCCAGTGATCAAAACCAGAACAATTTGAGCTACAAGATAAATGAATTAGTTTTATATTATAATGTGAGATATAAAATAAATATCAATAAATTCATACTGATATAAATATATGAATGAATGGATGAATGAATGAATACATAAGAAAAGACAAATTATCCATGTAGAAATCCAAATAATTTATATAGATGCTACACCCACAAAGGAGTAGAATGTAACTCCACATGCCTTAAGCGTAAGTGGCATATAGTGACTTCCTTCCAAATAATATAGTATTATTATAACAGAGAAAATAAACAGTAACTTTACAGTGAAGGAGCCTGTAAAATTGTCATTCAGCCAGGTGATCAAGGTCAGCAACAGTGATAAACTATGTTGATACTATGTACACTTGATACGATCTGAAGAGAATGGCATTATCTTAATAGAGGATTATTCCACAAAATACTGACTGGTCCTCCTCAAAGTTCACAAGGTCATTTAAAACAAGAAAAATATGGGAAGCTGTCATAACAGCCCAGAGGAGCCTAAGGAGGCATGAAAACTAAATGTAATGTGACATCATGGTTGGGATCCTAAAACAGGAAAAGAATATTAGGGGGAAAAAGTCAAAGAACTCTGAATAAAGTACGGACTTTATATAAAAATGAGGTACCAATATTGGTGAGTGTAACACTATCATTGATTATAGCTAACATAACAAATATGTCATACATAGAGGAAACAGGGTGTAGGGTTTGTGGGTATTTCCTGTATAATCTTCATAATTTTTGTGTAAACTACTCTAAAAATTAAAGTTTACTAAAACGTTAAATTGCTAGTAGGCAGTCAAGAAAGACCTAATCACAAATCTCTTCCACCTAAAAAAGGCTTTTTAGAATAACTGAAAAAGTCACCCCAACAACACTTAATGTGTTTGAGAGGGAGCTTTGCATGGGATTCTGCCAACAACAAGGAAAGAAGGAAATCTCTGATCTGCACTTACTAACACTAGGGCTTTGACCTGCCCAAATGGGAAGAGAAATGATCGATATCCTTCATGCTCTGTCTCTGCCCTATGTCTTGAACAAATATGGTATGGATCATGGATGAGTTTCAGTAATTGTGATATAATTATGGCCAGGGAACAGGAAATGCCAAAGCAATAGGCTCCTTTTAATGGAGTTTCAGTAGAGGCTAAACATAGAAAGACCAACAAAGAAGAATCAAAGTGCTTCTTTCTTGAAAGATGCACACATCCTCAAATCATGATGTAGAGCTTTCATAAAGTGATTTGTGTGATACATTGTGCGCTTCTGATCTGACCACCCATTTCTCCTATCAGTCTAAGACATGTGAATTTTCTCATCCTCTTGGTCATCAGATGAAGAAAGGAAGTAGAGGAGGAAATGAACACAAAATCATTATGCTTCAGAGAGACTGAAGTCTTAGCTCAACCAGCTATATGGCTGCTGAGAACTAAGAAGATCCTGAGAAGTGGTGGAGACAGAGGCAGAGTGTCTACACTCTCTCTTTAAGGCCCAATAGCCATGCCTACTACTAAACACAATCCAGTGAGTGTTTCAGACTTAGACCAATCCAATTAGAAACTTCTCCCCTCGAGGTGACCTATGAGGAAGTGGGCAGAAGTTGGCCTAAGATGGAGAGAGCCTAGAAATTCTCTTCCTATCATAAAAGGATAGAAAAAGACTATACTCACAAAGAGTTTACACATTTCTCCGAGGTTAGATTATTTATTTTTAGTTGAAAGAACCCTTGTTTCTGTATTAGAGAACTCTAGGATCTCAGAAATAGAAAGAATTCTGAATACCTCCACTGGGTGAGGCAATGAATTATAGTTAGGTCATAGATTTTTGAAATGGGAAGAGTCACAAGTCAGTACCTGGAGAGAGGTGTAATCAATCAAAACAGACACTGCACTTTCAATGACGTATTTGTTTGATAGTGCTAACATATCTGATGGAGTCAATCAAAACAGACATTTTGGCAATGCATCCACTTACGAGAAGGCACAGAGTAAATAACAATAATTCTGTGTTAGGACAAGTCTTCTGTATGGAACATTGGGTGAATATGTTCTAACCTTGTTGTTCCCATATATCAGGCATACAATCATTTTACTCTTTTGATCCTTATTTATATAAGGAGCAGGCCATATTTGTTGACGCCTTTTAGCTCTAAATAAAGTATTCCATGAGACACTTAAACTATAAAATTGTATGGATCAAAGTACCAAACATTTTTTTGAGTGAGTATTAGATCCAATATAAATGCAGACAGTAAGGATTGCTGGATCACTTAATGTAACTCAAGTACAAAAGAGAGTACACTGTGGAACATCACATAGTACTCACTGAGGGATGGATGCTAGTGTACCAGCTCACCAGGGGTCCAAAAGAATATAACCAGCCTGCCTCTGAGATTGTATCACTCAGCATGCAAGTAAGGTGATAACTGAATAAATGTGGCTTAAGCAACACAGGTTATCATTATTACTTTTTTTTTGTCAGACAGAGAGAAGTCCAGATACTTGGTTCACAACTCAAAAGTGCCACGAAGTTCCCAGTCATTCCGATTCTTCTTCTTCTTCTTCTTCTTCTTCTTCTTCTTCTTCTTCTTCTTCTTCTTCTTCTTCTTCTTCTTCTTCTTCTTCTTCTTCTTCTTCTTCTTCTTTTTCTTCTTCTTCTTCTTCCTCTTCTTCTTCTTCTTCTTCTTCTTTTTTAGTGTACCTCTTTTATCTCTCAGCAATGTCTCACCACATGATTGTAAGATGGCTATGGCAGTTCCACAAATTAGGTCCTCATACAATAATGCCTCTAAGAGGAAGATAGGAACACACTCTCCTCTGGCACCTCTTTTAATTGGGAAGAAACCTATTGCCCAGAAGCCCCCACCCTGTTCTAGGAGACTTCTCATGTGTCTCTAATTGGCCAATAGCTAGTACCCAATAAATGAAGAAGGAATAACAAAATTAGAATATGACTACTTTGCAAATGAATTAATGGACCTAGCTAATAATCATTAATATCTGTGAACATCACTGAAAGACAAGCAATTAGATATCCTATACCTCCTGCCAGATGAAGGGGTCTTGCTAAAGAGATTACAATTGCTCATGCTTCTAGATTTAATTACCACTTTTTATAGAATGCATAGAACAGTGAAACATGATAAACTATACAACAAGAACGCAATCAGTAAAATTTGTATCCTGGAAAAGTTTATCAGAGAAATAACCAAATTTCTTTGGCAAAAAATATACAAAAATCAAAATTAAAGAGAAAGGAGAAGAAATCTATAGACTAAAATATACCTATGCGATACAACAACAACAACAAAAATGTGTGAAATTTATTTGAATTCTGATTAAAACAACCCTTAAGATTTCAAAAAAAGCATTTTTGCCAATTTTAGACTCTCTTTTAGGGATCATTTCTGCAAGCAAGAAAAGTGGGGCAAGAATCAATGTTTGCTCAGAGTCTAATGATCCATCTTACTGAAATGGCCTAGAAAATGTTTATGTTGCCATACAATAAGAAAAGTTATTTCCAAACAGACATATTTTAAGGTTAAATGATATTTTCACAGACACTGTTTATCTGCTTCCTGTGTTCCATTTCCCACTGGGATTCATTTCAGCAAAGACAACTGTTATAGAAGTATTTTTGGTCCAGAGCTATTCAAGGAAGTGTTCAGAATCTCTTGAGAGAGTTCGTTCTCAAGAAGCAGGCAGCACAAACTTTATGGGTCTCACAGACACAAAATGGAGTAATGCACCTTCATTTTTGGAATTTACTCACACCCCTCCACATTGGCTGAGTTGAGCTACTTCACTAATTAATAAACAGATGATCTAGATAGCATTTCATATGTTATAAAGACTTTTACAAACTTTTTTTTTCAATCTGAACTCCCCAAACACTACATAAAAGATGTAATTGAGAAGACTAGAGAATTATAACTAATTGAACACTTTCTAGATTCTAGGCAATTTCTTAATATTTATTTTCTCAATTTGTAAACAACCCTTGCTAATACCTTTCTCTTCATTTTACAGATTGGGCAAATTGAAATTCTAAGAGATAATGAGAATAGACCAAAGCCTTGTGATAATTAAGTGCTCAACCTCAAAGGACATAATGTGATGCACAGATGCTGAGTTAAGTGCTTTATACATTATGTAAATATGAATCAAGTGATATAGGGCTCAGTACTGTATCAAGATAGCAACATGTGGAATTTCAGGAGTGAACTTCATTTATAGTGAAACAAAAAGCAAAATAAAGTACATGATCTTTTTAATAATCAGAAGTGAATTCACTTTCCACTGCCAGGTGGCTGTGCGCCGTGAGCAAGTCATCTTTGTTAATACCTGATTTCCTTATTGTAAAATGTGCATAATTATATCTTCCAAGTATGACTAGATATACACTCTGCCCTTTGGCCTTTATAGTTTGTGCTCCCTAACCTCTACTTTACTGACTTATTTCTCTTTGTTAACTGGGAGCTACATGAGGGCAAGTGCTATATCATAACAAGTATTGGATTCTTGTTCCTTGTGCAGCTCAGACACATAGTTAGCAACTGTCCAAAAATATTTATATAATGTAAGAAAGAATTTCTATCTAATTTTTCACAAATCAAAATCTCTCTTATCTTTAGATTTTTTAAAAAATAGAGATAACAGTAATCAAATGTATATAAAAATATGTTAACTACAAATAATAGCAATATTAGGTAATAATTACAAAATAATTTTTGTACATAAAGCAAGTTCTTGAAAGTGCAACCAGAAGACTCCAATAGCAGCAGGTCTTTTCTAGAATATTCCCTTAACATACCCGTAACATCCACTAGCTTCTATTCAATTCAACCCTGACTTACATGTTTAGTCTCTCAACATTATGCATGATGTTAGCTGTGTGTTTACTGTAGGTATTCATTTTCAGATTGAGAAGAACTCTTCTATCTTTACTTTCAAGAGTTTTTATTGGGAATTGACATTAGATGGTATCCAATGTGTTTTCTACTTTCCTGAAATGATTACATGTTTTCTTTTTTTAGTTTGCTAAGTGTCATATGTTCAATTATAGTAACTAGATTTGGAATGTTTAATGTACCTAGCATACATGTTTGGGATCAAGTGCACTTGGAGTTATGAGGCATTATATTGTCTATATATTGGTGAATTCTATTTCCTAAAATTTTTTTTAAACTTTCATCAATATTCATGAAAAATATTTGCGTATTCTCTTTTTATTCACTATATCTTTTTCTGCTTTTGTTTTAGAATAATTCTGATTTCATAGAGTGAGTTTGGAAATATTCCCTCCACTTCAATTTTCTGAAAAAGTTTGTGTAGAATTAGTATTATATTTGTTTTAATGTTTAGTAGGACACAAAAATAAAATCATGTGTGCTAGGAATTTTTTCTGAGGGGAGGATTGTGACTTTAGGGTCAGTGATATTATCCTTTGTTCTTTGATGAGTTTTTATAGTTTGTGTGTCTCAAAAATATGTCTATATCCTCTAAAAATTTATTGACAGAAAATTGTTGGTGATATTATCATACCACTCTTATGATGTATGTAGACTATGTAGTTACATTACCTCTCTGGTCTCTAATATTGGTCATTTATGGTCTTCCTTTATTTTTTCCTGATCATTGTGGTTAAAGTTATATCATTTATATTTATTAACTTATATACAAAAATCACCTTTTGGCTTGCTTTTATTTATTCACTTTGTATTTTATGTTTTATTGATTTCTGATCTGCTATTTAGTGTTCTTTTTCTTCTTTTAACTTTCATATTTGTTTATGCTTATTTTGTTAGTTTCTTTAGGAGGAAGCTGAGATCATTGACTAGGTATTTCTTCCTTTCTAACATAGTTATAAATCTTTCTCTAAATACTCTTTTAGCCACATCTCCCAAATTTTATTTTTTTAAATTTTTGATTCAGTTCAAAATACTTTTTATTTTTTCTTTTGATTTTCCATTGACCCATGGATATTTTTAAAAGTTTATTTAAATTTCAAATGTTTAGAATATTTACAGGAATATTTTCACCTTACTGATTTGCAATTTAGTTCTATTGTGGTCAGAAAACATATTTCATTTAATTTGAATCATTTTACACTTACAAAGACATTTTATAACTGATAAAACAGCATTTCTTGTGTTTCTATATATATAGAATTTCTAGATATACATTTCTACATATATAGAAATACTACATACATATAGAAATTTCTTGTGTGTATCTATATAGATACATACATATATACATATATAGTTTTGGGGTTTTTTTGATTTTTATTTTAGGTTCAGGGATACATGTACAGGTTTATCATATAGGTGAATTTCATGTCACAGGGGATTGGTGTACAGATTATTTCATCACCCAGGTAATAAGCCTAATACATGATAAGCAGCTTTTTGATCCTCACCCTCCTCCCACCTCCCACCCTTAAGTAGGCCCTTATGTGTGTTCCCTTCTTTGTTTCCACACGTATTCAATGTTTAGCTCCCATTTATAAGTAAGAGCATGTGGTATTTAGTTTTCTGTTCCTGAGTTAGTTGGCTCAGGATAATGACCTCCAGCTCCATCCATGTTGCTGCAAATTACATGCTTTCATCATTTTTATGGCTACATAGTATTCCATAGGTGTATATCACATTTTCTTTATCCAGCCTTCCGTCGATGGGCATTTAGGTTGATTCTATGTTTTTTCTTTTGTGAATAGTGCTGTGATGAACATAGATGTGCATGTGTCTTTATGGTAGAATGATTTATATTCCTTTGGGTATATATCCAACAATCGGATTGCTATGTCAAATGGTAGTTCTCTTTTAAGTTCTTTGAGAAATCACCAAATTCCTTTCCAAAAGACTGAAATAATTTACATTTCCACCAGCAGTGCACAAGCATTCCCTTTTCTCCGCAACCTCACCAGCGTCTGTTTTTTTTTTTTTTTTTTTTTTTTTTTTTTTTTTTTTTTTGACTTTTGAATCATAGCTATTCTGACTGGTGTGAGATGGTATCTCATTGTGGTTTTGGTTTGCATTTCTCTAATGATTAGTGACATTGAGCATTTTTTTATGTTTGTTGGCCACATGTATGTCCTCTTTTGAAAAATATCTCTTCATGTCCTTTGCTTACTTTTTGATGGGGTTGTTTGTTTTTTGCTTTCAAACTTGTTTAAGCTCCTTATAGATTCTGGATATTAGACCTTTGCCAGCTGAAGAGTTTGCAAATATTTTCTCCCATTCTGTAGTTTGCCTGTTTACTCTGTTGATAGTTTCTTTTGCTGTGCAGAAGCTCTTTGGTTTAATTAGGTCGCATTTGTCAATTTTTGTTTTTATTGAAATCACTTTTCACATCTTTGTCAAAAAGTATTTCCTATGTCTTACATCCAGAATGGTACTTCTTAGGTTATGTTTCAGGGTTTGTATAGCTTTTGGTTTTAGATTTAAGTCATTAAAACATCTTGAATTGATTTTTATATATGGTGTAAGGAAGGGATCCAGTTTTAGTCTTCTGCATATGGCTAGACAACTATCTCAAGACCATTTATTGATAGGGAGTCCTTTCCCTATCACTTGTTGTTGTCAATTTTGTCAAAGATCAGATGGTTGTAGGTAGGCAGCATTATTCCTGGGATCTATATTCTGTTCCATTGGTCTGTGTGTCTGTTTTTATACGAATACCATGCTGTTTTGGTTACTGTAGACTTGTAGTATGATTTGAACTCAGGTAATGTGATGCCTCTATGTTTGTTCTTTTCGCTTAGGAATACCTTGGTTATTCAGGCTTCTTTTGTGCGGGAGGGGTTCACATGAATTTTAAAATAGTTTTTCTTCTAATTCTGTGAAGAATGTCATTGGTAGTTTGATAGGAATAGCATGAAACCTGTAAATTTCTTTGGGCAGTACAACCATTTTGGCAATATTGATTCTTCCCAATCATGAACATGAAATGCTTGTCCATTTGTTTGTGTCATCTCTGTTCTCATTGAGCAGCGTTTTGTAATTTTCAGAGAGGTCTTTTACCTCCGTGGTTAGCTGTATTGCTAGGTATTTTTTGGTGTGGCTATTGTGAATGAGATTGTGTTCTTGATTTGGCTCTCAGCTTGAATAGTGTGGGTGTAGAGAAATGCTACTGATTTTTGTAGATTGATTTTCTATCCTGAAATTTTGCTGAAGTGGTGTACAAGGAGCTTTTGGGCAGAGACTACGTGGTTTTGTAGTTAGAATCATATTATCTGTAAATAGACATAGTCTACTTTCTTTCTTCCTATTTGGATGCCTTTTATTTCTTTATCTTGCCTGATTGCTGTGGCTAGGACTTCCAGTACTGTTCAATAGGAGTGGTGAAAGAGGGCATCCTTATCTTGTTCTGGTGTTATACTTGGAAAGCATTTTTACTCTGCTATCTTTCTTTGGAGTGTCTTATAAATATAAATTAGATCATATTGATATAGATAGTATTGTTCTAGTCTTCTATATCATTAGTAATTTCCTCCCACTTGCTATATCAATTATTGAGAAAGGAGCATTAATATTTCTAACTGTAATTGTTGGTTGGTTTATATTTTCTTGCAGTTCTAACAGTTTTTGCTTTATATATTTTGTTTTGAGTAATACAAGCATTTAAATTTGTTGCAGTCACTGGATGTATTGACCCTTTTAATACCATAAAATTATTGCCTTTTTCTTTGGTAGTATTTACTTCTCTGCAAACTAGTTTTTATGATATTAACATCACCTCAACAATTTTCTTTTGATCATCTTATCTTTTTTATTTTTGCAGTTTTAACAGATTTATATATTTATACTGAAAATATGTTTCTTATAGGCGGTGAATGGTTTGGCCTTGTTTTTAAAAATTCAATCTGACAATCTCTGCCTTTTCACTAGGTGTTTCGATTATTTACATTTTCTATGATTATTGGTATGGACAAGTTTAAGTCAGTATTCTTGCTATTTGTTTTCCATTTTGTCCCATATATCCTTGTTAATCAAATGAAAAAATTGGGTCTTTTTTTATATTTTCTGCCCCTCACTTTCTTCGGCAAATCCAGTTTCATGTATATTAAGTTTTCCTGAAGTTTTACTATAGCTCACTGCTCATATTGTCATTTTTAAAATTGATTATTCCTTCTAGCCTGCCTTTTAGGTAGTCTGAATTTCTGTGACTTCAATTTCACTAATATTTTCTCCTGCAATGTCTAGTCTGCTGTTAATCCTATCCAGTGTATATTTCATCTCAGATATTGTAGTCACCTTCTATAGAAGTTTGATAATAAAATTTAAAAAAGAAGTTTGATTTGGATCATATATATGTACACACACACACACAGACACACACAACACTCCTTAATTCTACTTAACTGTTTGAACATAAGGAATATAGAGCTAATTATTTTAATGTCTTTATCTGATAATTCTAACATTTGTGTCGTGATTAACTATGTTTTAACTGAGTTTATCTTCTTATAGGTTGAACTTTCTAGATTGATTTTGAGGGAAGCCTGGTAATATTTTATTAGGTTCCAGATATTCTGGGCATTATCTCGATGGGTGATACATATTTTTGTATTCCTACAAATATTCTTTATCTTGGATCTTGGATATAGTCAGTTACCAGAAAGTAGTTTGATTCTGTTTGATCTTAATCATGATATTTCTTATACAATACTACAGCTGTGTTTAGTCTAAGGTTAATATCCCATTGCTTTGGTAAGACTCTGTTGAGTATTCTGCCCAATATCCATAAATTATGAGATTTTCCTTTCTGTCCTATGGGATCAAGTACTATTCCCAGCCTGGAATTCCCAGAGCACTACTCCCATGAATTCTTTCTGTGGTGTTTCTTACAGCCTTAGGCAGCTTTTTTCACATGAATGTTCTGATCAGTGTTGAGCTGAATACATTGAGGAGGATGTTCTTCATATTTCTCAACTATCCTTCCCTCCAGTACACTACTCTGTAAATGCCATTCACCTTGATCTCCAGCACAAGTCATTGTACTTTCATAGCCCCACTTGTTTGTAGGTGGCTAGAGACAGAGACAAAGGTCTGGCAAGTTCCAGTTTGTCTTCAAATGTTTCTACTCTAAGTCCAGGGTTCCTTCTCAAATCCCAGACCTACTGAGAGGAAACAGCCAAATGTGTTTTTCTAAGCTCAGAGAAGCAATAGCAATGTAAATTTCTACCTTAACCCGTGGGAGTTCCACTCCAGAAACTGGATATGTGTAGCTTCCTGCAGTCTTCAATTTGTTCATCCATTCCTGGGCTGTTTAGTAATATTTGAAACTATTTAATGACCTTTAATTTCCCAAGTATTTCCAACAGTTGTATATTTAATTTTTATATTAACAATTTGTTTTATATAACAAAACCGTTTATTATTCAGCTGCTGTGAGTGGTCCCTAAATAATTGTTATTTTTTAATAGCTCAGAACTGTTTCCAGTGCAACATAATTTACATATAAGAATCTGGAATTAAGTCTCCAATTTTATTATATTTAGAGGCCCTGATGTCCATATTGCCAGTGATAAAGGGACATTGATAGTTCATAGCATATAGAATTCAGTATAGACTTTGGAATTACAGTCAGAATATTATGCTTCATTGTTTAGATATGTGAAGTATGAGAGAATGGTTACATAAATTATCTCCTCTGAAATGACCAAGTGCTTGTAGAAGGCAAGCTTTTGGTTGGCCAAGGATTTGCCCATAGAATATTTTAGGCAGAATAAGGTAACAATAATGGAGTTATTAATGGCTTCTTGGTTGCAGAATACCTTGGAGTAAGTTAAGTGTTTAGCTCAGCTATTTAAATTCCAACTTCACCACCTGATTTAGAGACCAGAGAGTTTCTTGGACTTCCCTGAAGGAAACTTTATCTCTTATAACCACAGGAATCAGCTTTTCTGAACTCAAAACCCAAAGTCTTATTTTTTGGATGAGTGGCAGCTGAATTACAACACAGATTGAATTCACAACCTCATATATCAAAGTGAGGGAATTGTTTGCAAAAATAGTACAAAACCCCGTAAGTCAACATGGACAGATTCTGAAGATACTTTAACGTTAAATTTTCCTAAGCCTCTTTACCAATAGAAATAAGTACTTTTTCTTGTTTTATGAGTTTGATCTCTTCTTGCTTAAAAAACCTGTAATAGATTCTTCCAAGATGGAAGTCTGGCAGGGAATTGCTAATTCTCCACAGCACCTGCTCCTGTCACCCCTCACTTCTCATTTCTCAATTCTAGATCTACCCCAGAGGGTGAGGTACAAAAGCTGAGAGACACTCACACCAAAAGCAGTACATGATCTTGTCAGTATATATTGAAAGACAAGAAAGATCATATAGGAGAATGAATTCTAAATGTGTTGTGTCAGGAGCAAAGAGTAGAATATTGATCGGGCTAATTTATTGATACAGGTGCACTGAGCAGGATTACTGGATTCCATGTGTTCATTTGAGTACTGGGAGTGACTCTTAGAGTTGGCTTATTTCCTTTCTGGACTGAAACCTAAACCCTAATTTGGTCCACACAAAATAAAATTCAAATGCCAGAACTTTCTTGATTGCTGTATAAAAAGGTATCTAAAGGTTTGGGAAATTAGAAGCAAGAATAGATTTATTATATAAAGGCTGTTTACCCCTACTGTGACTATAAAGCCAAGGAGGACACAGCCAGCCTACTTCATTAATATGCCTTTCAAAGCTCTTCACAAGGATTATAGAGAGACATCATGATAAGATTTTTAAAATGTATCTCTATTAATTTATTTTTTTCTTGGAAGTAAACAGGAAGTTTCTAAACCAGATTCAGTCCATTTTTAAATTATGGAATGTTTATCTTGTGTTGGTTCTCCATGCTCAAGTTCTTTCTTGAGGTAATGCTAGGAAGGGGGATATGACATTGCATGTATAGATTGGTTCTATAGGAAAGAAACCTTGAAATTATGAAACTTGGAGTTTACATAGGAACTGCTGCACATCTACCCCACCTTACCTCCAGAGAGAGGAAGAAAGACCTTTGTTCTTTAATGTACTCAAGTCCTTTCTGGAGAGTACAAGACAGTCCATAGCTCAGAATGTAAGTATTTAGCTCTGGAGATTATAAGAAAGTCTTTATTACTTTGGGATGAGAGCACATGGCTATACCAAAAAGGAGACAAATGTCTTCATATCTATTACCCTTACAATGAGAAGGACAAATGGTTCTGGGGAAATAAGGAAGCATTCTCTATCTTCATAACATGCCAACTTTTGTTGCTCAGAAGGACATGACATGCAAAAATATAAAAATATTCATATTGTTTTTGACACATTGATGAGGGAAGCACACATTTTTTAACAGTTTTGTAGTTATTCTCAGCAGGCTAGTTATAACAGCAAGGAATGTTTTCTTCAACCCAGGCATTCTAGATTCAATGGAAATGGTAAGATTAAACAGGGGCCAAACGGTGCTCTTAGTAGCCACAGAAGCATGGACATGGTTATTGCAATAGGCAGAAGAAATGATATGATAAGGTAATTAGAATGGCTTGACTAGTAGAGGTCTTTAATATTGACTAGTTGATCATTACATCCCTAGGTAAAATTTAGTAGACAGCCAATTAAAGTTTTCTTTAAATTGGGTAAGTGGAACAGCTCTAGGTCCAGTGAACAGGTTGCTCATTTTTTCCTCAGGAGAAATGGCTAGAGGTGTGGATCTACACTGATTTGTAATCTGTAGCTAATAGTTGGGCTGAATCTCATGGACTTAGAAAGAATATAATTGGAAAACTGATAATATGAATTTAAGAGAAAGAAATATTTATGTAAACTTTTCTGAATATGAATAAAATGTAAAAATATTTGTGTGCCAATGAATGATCTCAGAAGAATTTTAGTCATCAGTGGACAAGTTGATCCATCTGTGGATATCTGTCAACTTTTTTTCAGCTACACCTGTCCTTACACTTGTCTACAATGGGCTTATGGACAAAATGAAAACAGCAACAGGAGTGGAGGTTATGCATGAGGTCAGCAGCATAGTTTTCCACTCATCAAGGCTGATCTGGCTACAGCCACTGGTGAGTGGGCAACCTGCTAATGACATAGACCAGTACTATTCAGCAGAGGGATCACTCAGTGTGAGGGTAGGTTGTTTATATTCTATCTTGTCCATCCTGGATGAAGCAATAGATTATTCTCACTGGAATGGTCACTTATTCCGCTCAAAATGCTTTGCCCAAACCATGATCTTTTGACATAGAGAATGTCCTATTTATTATGATGGTGTTCCACTTAGAATTCTTTATGGCCAAGTAATTCATTTTACCGAATATGAAGTGCAATGATGGACTTTTGCTCATAAAATTCACATGTTTTTTAACGTCACCCATCACATGAAAGCTGAGAGAAAAATTGAATGTTCTTTCTGGAGGTTCAATTACAGTGCCAGCTGAGTGACCATGATTTACGGGGCAATGCAATATTCTATAGGATGCCTATGTGCTCCAAACTAGCTAGAAGAATATGGAATTATAGCTCCTCTAGCTAGAACCTATGAGTCTAAAATCAAGGAGAGAAATGGTAGTGGCCTCTTTCACTATTAACTTTAATGATCCATTAGTAAAATTTTTGCCTCTTATCCCCACAACTTTGGCTTCTGGTTTGAACATCTTTGTTTCTTGAAAGGAAAGTTCTTTAGCAGGAAACAGCAACAGTCTGTTAAACTGGAAAGTGAAGATGTCATTTGACCACTTTCTGCTTCTCAGGTCCATGAATCAAACAGGAAAGAATGACATTATTACCTTGTCTAGGGTATTGATCTTGAGTTTTGTTGCTATGCTCAAGAAGAATAAGGAAGATTATGTCTTAAATGCAGGAAATCTCCTTGGATGTATCTGAATATTTTCAAATCCAGAGATAAAAGTTAATGAAAACTCACATCGCAGTACACTTGGGACTGCTAATAGCCTAGACTCTTCAGAAACAAAGGTTTAGATAACTCCACTAGTTGAGAAACCAAAAACAGCTAAGATGTTTGCTAAGAGAAAAGGAAATATGTAATAGTGGATGTAGAGAGAAGTTATGACTATTAATACTGCAAACATACGACCAGATGCAGAAAGAAACACTATATTGAGTATTTATTTTTAATTTTAAAATGAATACATTTGTTAATATTTTAACAATTTTTTATTCTCCTATCTGCTAATTGTATATATATTAATAGAAATTAATGTTGTATCTTAGTACTGATGTTACTGGACATAAAATGGTATGTGATCAAGTACAAAAAGCAATAAGTACATCATCGAAAGGTGAATAAGATGACACATGAGACTTGATATTGTCTTTGGGGAAATGGTTAGCATAGTTTTGTTTACAGGAAGGATATTTGCATCTTGTTGGGTAGAAGCAAAATTTTGTCAGTATTTTCATTTGAAAGTTATGTCAGTTAACAGAGATATATAAGGACGGAAAGAGGACAAGACTGGGTTGTGGTGGTTTTGTGCTGTGTTAACTTGGCTAAGCTATAATTAACTTTCCTAGGATTTCTCTGGCCACAAGAAAAAAAATCTGTGGTATTTGGGTTGCAGAAATGAAACACCCAGCCTTTGAAATCTGAAGGTTGTCTTTATAATTGTTGAAACCTGGAAGCAATGAAGATGCCTTTTCATAGTTGAATGAATAAACAAACTATGGTACATCCATACAATGTAATATTATCCAGCAATAAAAGAAAATGAGATATTATATCATAAAAAGATATGAAGGAAACAAATTCATACTGTCAAGTGAAATAAACCAGTTTGGAAGGCTTTGTAATTCCAACTACAAGACATTCTGGAAAAGGTAAATCTATAGAGATGGCAAAAGAAAAAAGAAAAAAAAATCTGGTCATTGCCAGGAAGTTGGGAGAGAGAGGGATGAGTAGGTGGAACATGGGAGCTTTTGAGGGCAGTGAAGTTGTTCTGCGTGACATTGTGATATTGGATACACTGCATTATGCCTTCATCAAATTCACACGACTCTACGGCATAAGGAGTGATTCCCAATGTAAACTATGGAATTTAGTTAATAAAATAATCAATACTGGTTCATTAATTACAGCACTTCTGCCACACTAAGCAAGATGCTAATAAAAACTGTGGGCAGGAAATGAATATATGGAAAGTGTACTTTCTGCTCAATTTTTCTCTAAACCTAAAACTGTTGTAAAAATAATCTATTAATTAAAAACAAATCTGAAGGTTGTAGTTATTTAGAAAAGGTGAAAGACAGAGTGGTCTCCTTCTTTACTTTAGCTCTGCTGGTCAAAGCATCTCCAGGCCCGCCACTGCATGCTTTACCGTGAATTCACTGAGGTCAGAACCATGAAGATCAGGATCCGCACATCCACTTCTATACCTGCTCATCATGGTTACAATCCGGCAGCTGCATTCTGAAAAGCATGACTGGCTCATCCATGCCAGGGCTGGCTGGGACTCTTTTCTGATCCTTTCTATAATTTTACCTCCCCAGCTTCACCATCAATTGTATGAAGTCTAATTCCTGATATAAAGTCTCTATCTCATAATACACGGCCTCTGCTTCCCTAATCGAACCTTAACTGAATCACAAATTTTAAAATATCCTCTCTATTCTATTCTAAAGATTATTTAGTGAAAGCAGGGCTATCGTGTTTGTGATTGTAAAGTGAAATTAAAAGACCATTAGGAAAAAAAAAGAGGACATTTCTATTGCTTCATTCTCTGGTCATAGGCCTTCAATATTTGTTTCTCATTTGTGGGTCTATGAATGTAGACTTTATCTGAAATTGCAATGTGTATTTAAAGTGACTTGCTTTTAAGCTTCTTGCAGAATTGGTAACATGCTCCTCTACAAGCTACTTAATTTGTATACCTTATCCAAGCACACGTTTTGCATAATAAATAAACAGTAACTCACTGTCCTGCTTGATAAGTGACTACACATTGTATATTTTAAGCAAGTAGACCACATCTAATTCAAACTGCTTTTAATAGCTTATATTTTTCTCCCAACAGCTGCTCCATGCAGTAGAGATAACTCTGACCTAAACCACAAGTGTTTATGTAAAAACTCTAGCACAGGGTATATTATCTGACATAATTACATCTTTGAAAGATGCAAATGTGCAACCTGAAACCCTGAACAATCTGTGAGATGTATTCTAATGTACTAATTCTCTGTGTTTCTTGGCCATTGTTACAGGTACCATTTTATGGTTAATCAGCCTGTAGAAAGTGTGTGTGTGTGTGTGTGTGTGTGTGGTGTGTGTGTGTGTGTGTGTGTGTGTATTCACGTTGTGATGTTTTGGCTATGGCACTATTTCTGTTAGCTGCTCTTACGAGTATCTCCTAGGAGACAGGCAAAAATACAATTATATGTCTTCCACTCTTCCTGTCCATTCCATTTGAATGAGAAGCTTGTAGTCACTCTAAGAAAAAACGAACAATAGTATTCTCAAGAGGATGTTTTTGTAGTATTTGGCCTAAGAGGATTCTCAGCATAACGCAGAAGAATCCTCATTATTTGACTCCAGTCGGCCTCACTAGCCTCATCTTTGTCTATTCTCTTTCTTTGTAACATAACCTCAGGGCATTCCACACTACTTTTGGTTCTCTGAAACTACCATGTTTTGCTCACCTTCTGGGCTTTGGTTTGTGCGGTTATAGATGTCTAAAATGATTTCTCAAATGCCTAATTTTTTTATCCATTTAATTTCTATTTATTCCCAATGATGTGCACCCAACTTCCTTTAGGGCTTTTCACATTGAAGTGGCACATGGTAAATATTGGTTACTGATGGACATCTTGGGGTTCCATTTAGAGCTATTTGAAGTTTTAATTTGTGTTCTGTTAACACTTCTATTTTCATGTAGCACCATGCCTTGATTAGTGATCCTCCAGCAATGTATGTGTGATTTTTCAAACCCACTGAGGGCAGACTGTTCTGGCTTATTCTACTCTTATTTCCTGAACACAGTCTGTTGTTACTCCGTGGTTATCAATTGTTATCAATTCTATCAGTGCATTCTGGTTCAGTGAAAATGACTGACCAGCCTTCTCTTCAAACCTTCCCTAACTCATGGTTTGAGCCTTTGGGATAGAGAAGTCAAGCAACACCATCAGAAAAGAAATGGCCCAATTAGGCATCACAAGCAAAAGTTAACTCACTGATGTCTTGTTACTCATCTGGGAGAGATATTATGTCCTCATTTAGAATATCTATTTGATTAATGTACAAAATGGTAGGAATTTGTATTTACTAATAAAATAGCAATATCAAGAACTTCTAGAACGTATTCAACACTTAAATAATGTTGATACAGTCTTAAGCACTTGATGTGTATTAACTCATAATCCTCATTAAAAATGTAAGAATTAGTTACTATGACTAATCCCACTTCATGGGGTAGGAAATCAAGGTATAGAATCAGAGTGTGTTTTATTTTAGTAATCAAGAACATAAAACTAAGGCTTTACTTAAGTTAAAATTTTTAAAAAAAGAGTAATAGAATTGAATTTATATATTTTATGAGCTCCAAGATAAGACCTTTATGTGAGTGACCTCACAATGCAGTTCATTAAGTAAGTAGCTAATTCTTACTGATCTTTCTCCCAAGTGTAGTTTATATGAGACTTCCTGAGAGAGATTCTTCTCTAGTCATTCTCCATTCTTTTTATATCATACCTTTTTATACATGCCTCTTATTTTTCTTAACAACACTTATCAAAATCTGTGCTTAGGTACTTACTTCCATGATTTATTCCATGTTTTCCCTCTATATCCCTGTGCCAGAAAAGTCTTTAAGAACAGAGACCAGATGTTCACCAGTGGACTGGACTCCAGGGCCTGGCTCAGCATCTGTCCCGTATGTGCTATTCTTAAATATTTGTTGAAGATATGTATAGAATATACATAGATATGTTTACATACCAACTCTGTTAGAATGTACACATTATAATACATTAATATATATTAGAATATACACATATATGTACATATATATAATTTACATATCTACATATATTTTTATATATATTCCACACATATATTCCAACTCTATTAGAAGCATTTGATATTAATTTAAATGTTTATTTCTGCAAAATTTTGGGGACAGGTTGTTGATACGAGATATTCATGGTTGTATGAATTAAGAGTTTTAAATCAGAAGGTTCTTCAATCTGGACATCTACTTAGAATTTCATGATCAAGCCAATGATATAGTTTTAGAGTATAATAAAAAGATAGTAATTAAATTTTAATCAACATGTGTTTATTGATGACAGACCTGGGTCATGCTCTGTACTAAATCCTCAGATGCAAAAACGAATAATATGGGGCCCCTGCCTCCAGTTAATTCATAGTGGGATAAAGGAAAAGTGAAAACTTTGATAAAGGATCCAAGTCACTCTCCATCTATGTCCAGGTGAGCAAAGAGGTGAAATTAAATAGCACCTTATCTATTGCCTCGTGAAGCAGGATTTTTATTGGCCCCTTAGTCAGATTCCTGACAAGGGAGAGCATTTACTTGGCCCACAGCCCTCAACCCCTCACATGCAGGAGGGAGCACATGAGCAAGCAAGTGCAGGACCCGGTAGGCCACCCTGGGCATCGACACGGGAGCAAATTCCATGCGGAACCCATGGCCAGACCAGGCACAAGTGAGAAAATATGGGACCCAGCCAGTAGCTCCAGGCACCAGTGGGAGCAAGCTCCATGGGGTGACATCCAGGTTGTGGGGGGTAGGTTCCTGCGACCCCAAAGCTCAAGAGGGCATGTTACAGTGCTTTTAGCTCTATTGTCCGTGGACAGCAGTATGTTATCAGCTCAGATGGGCCCTTTCTTCATCACGTGGGGTGAATGCCCTCTGCTGGTGAGGGTAAAGGGCCAGTGTGACAGCCTTTTTTGTGTACCCGTAGAGGTCGCATGGACACTTAAAGGATGGTGAAGGTGGAGAATTTTATTAAGCAATGGAAATGGCTCTCAGCAGAGAGGGGAGCTGAAAAGGGGATGGGATGGGCAGGTAGTCTTCTCTGAAGTCTGGCCAGCTCTTCCCTGAACTCAAGCCATCCCTCCAAAGTCAAGCTGCCTTGCTGAAAACAAGCTGCCTTGCTCCCCTCTACTGACTGAGCCTGGGGTCTTTATAGGCACAGGATGGGGGATGGGGCAGGCCATAGGTAGTTTTGGAAAAGACAACATTCGACTGGCAAGAAGGCATTATTCAGAAAGAACCAACTTGGAGAGAACTGGTAGACAGGAATAGAAGCTCTCACTTTGGGCTGTGGGTTTCAGGTTTTTCTACTTGAAGGTGAGGTTTCACTGGGGACCTGCACCATCTGCCTCCTGCCTCTATCACTTGTATTCCCCATAACCTAAAAGATCAACATGGATCAGATTGGAGAAATCAGCTGGTTTGCTAAGAGGAAGGTACAGAAATAATAACAGAGATTGAGATGTTGGCCTTATCAGATCCTGAGATTTCCATCAATTCTGTGAGACTTTTGTACTTTCACAAAGGAACTTCTCAGAGAAGCAATAGATGCAGACATTAAGGCTATAACTCAACAATCAGATGAATCCTCATGATGCGTTCTACACAAGAAGAAACAGAACTTCCTTAGAGAACATCATCCTTTTACAAAATCTGAAAAGCTGATATTCTGTGGCACAGAAGCAATCTCATAGAAAATACATATTCAGTACTTCTCATTTATTAAGCCATTTAAAGGCCTGAAAATTTCCCTCATTTTAACTCAAAATTCAACAGTTCAGGCATTTTCTATGAGAGCCCTCACTTAATCTGTTTATTTGTTCTTCTATCTGTACATTATCTTTTGTTCATTTAAGACTGTTTATTAATTATTTTCTCTGTGTTAGACACTGGTTAAGGCAGTGGGAATACAGAAGTGAATACAACAGACAACAAACAAAACAAAATGAAAATACCTTACTTCATGGAGCTTACATTCCAGTGGAAATACTTGAGTCCCAGAGTAATAATGACAGAGTTATCTGTAACATACAAATGAGACATTTGTCCCAAGCACCTCATTGACTTTTGAAAGGCTGAAACAGGAGAATCCAAATGAAAATATCTATATAAAATAATATTTCTTATGCAGCTCAGCTATTAGCAGTAGTCTTATATAAAATTGAATCATGTCCTTTCGCATCTCATGGGAATCTCCACTACCATTCCAATATCTAATTTTTTTGATTTATCATCAAATGAAGGAATCCTTATTCCTGGATTTATTCAGCACTGATTTTCAGCTTCTACTGAATTCTTTCACACAGCTCACTTCAGGCGACTGCTCTTTCTTGGTCACTGTGTGTTGACGTAAATGTGGAACATAGCCCCTTTACCTTCAATTCTACAAAGCGCTACTCATTACAACCCATTATGTATGGTAGATTTTTACAAAAATTCAGGGTAATGACCGGTGATTATAGTGCACAAAGCCCAACAAAGCACAAGAAGGGAAAAATTTTACAATTAAATTTTAGCTACACCGAATAGTTTTTGTTTGTTTTGTTTGGAGACAAGGCCCTGCTTTGTCCTCCAGACTCCACAGGCTGGAGTGCAGAGACATAATCACAGCTCACTGCACCTCAACTTCCCAGGCTCAAGCCATCCTCCCATCTCAGCCTCCTGAGTAGGTGGGACCACAGGTGCACACCACCACACCCACGGCTAGTCCTATTCTTAAAGCTTTCAATAACTTTACTGTCCTACCAGTACCTCCCCTAGAAATGAGTAGACCCACGCAGACATATGCCAATACACTGCCTGAGGCATCTGCACACTCATCATTTTCTTCTTAAGTTCTAATTTGTTTCTATTTTGCTGAGCGTTCTCTTTTATGTTGGGCTTTTTTCTTTTCAACCTCACTTACCCTCAGTAGAATGTAAGCTCCAAATGTTCCAGGAGTTTTCAGTCTGATGCGTTCTATGTTAAAGCTCTAAGATTTAGATCAGAGGTCAGCAAAGTGCAGCCTACAGGTAGTATTTGGCCTGTTACCTGTTTTTGCATGAGCTTTGAGCTAAGAGGAGTTTTTATATTTTACATGGCTAAAAAATTATTTCAAAAGAATAATGTTGCAAAGGTAAAAATGTCAACCTCCATGAGTATAGCATGTTTGTTTGTTTTACATTCCGTTTTTATGGAATTCTGTGGCTGCTTTTGTGCTATAATGGCAGAATAATAGCGACAGAGAGCTTGTATTTACTGTTTATCCCTTTACAGAAAGCATTGCCAACTCCCAAATTAGAGGGTTTCCTGTTATATAGGCATTAAAATAATATTTTTTAACATTACATCCAAAAAAGACTTATCACTACTAAATTGAGGATTTCACCCTTTATCCATGAATAATCACTTAATACTCACTGAATGTCAGTATCACTGAATGTCAGCATCTTCAGCTAAAACCTAGAGGAAGAGTTCTATCCATCCTGTCAAAATAAAAAAGCCGTGAGACTCAAGTGAGATGTAAATAAAGTTCTTTGAAATCTGACAAACTTGTAAATTTACATGTTAACTGAGGGTGGCAGGAAAAGGGGTAAATTGAGATATTAGACAACATCTGAAGTGTTACATGGTTGCAGATACCTTTATAACTCATTGAAAATGGCAAGGAATGAATCCCCACAAGTCAACTCCTCTCCGACCGCCAAGTTTACAAGTATCATATAATTGTATTGATATAATAATATAAATAAAAGCAAAGAACAAAGCCCAGGTTTTTATGGAAAAGTGATCCCTAGTCATCTAATGGACTGCCTAAGCATCAAGACAGTGAAGAAGAAAGATGGAAGACTCATGTGCAATGCATTTGAGCTCACCAATAAATTGAACCTCAGTTTTCTCATCTGCTAAACTGATAAATTTTTCCTTTCCCTCATCAAATTGTTTTGTAACTTTGGAGAGAGATTGCAAGCAGTCATGTTCTACATATTTTTCCCATTATCCAGCACACAGTAGGTGCCTGCTGATTAAATAAAGTTTTATGGTTCTGAAAGGAGTTTCAAAATAGAAACTTCTTTCTGCCAAAATATGTATGCCAAAGACAAGTGTTGCTTGAAGCCAGCCCCAAATGTCCTAGACTCTTCTAAAAGGTAAAGTTCAAAAAGTATATGATTAAATTCTACAAAAACAATTCAAAACCTCCAAAACAGATGAAAGTGTCATTGTGATTAACCAACAGTGCACATTTTAATGCTGTTATAATAAACCAGGGTGAGTACATTACATTCCCATCAGCAGAGTGAGTGGTCAGGAATATTGCACATTAATGTGAGTTACAGTGTCTGGGAGCCATTCTTTCCAAAGGTGTATTAACAATTCTCACTCCATCTCAGGGAGATTGCCATGGAACTCTTCAGTACCTAAAATTCCAGGGTGCTTATTTCAGAAAACTGAAGCCTAGATCAGGTCCATATGATTAAAATAAAGTGGACGAGGAAGGCAAGATTTCAAATAATTAACCCAGCCACCTGCTAAAATGTTGCAAAGATGATCTAGGTTAGTCACGTCCTCTCAGACTTTGGAATGTTTCAGAACAAGTTGGGTGAACTTGGAAACAATAAGGATGAATACAGTTCATTAGGGACAAACGTTATCTAGAGCTACCTTTCTAAAAATTTTCCTACCTGTCTGATTCTTTGTTTTTTTTCTTTGGTTTCATTTGTTAATTCATTCATTTATTTATGCAAAAACATCATTTTCTAAGACTTATATTAGATTCTGAATATTTACTAATAAACAAAATAAACATGGTCATTGTCTTCAAGTTGTACATAGCACATAGGGCCTAACTCTTTGATTTTGAGTTTCTACTAATGACTACCCTTTATTCTGATGTCCACTCTAGCTTTCTAAGGCCTAAGTCCACAAGAGGCCAGATGAATTCAAAGAAGGATTCATAGTTCCCTTGGGACTCTTTGAACATTTTTTCATTTGTTTCACTACAAATTATTTTATTATTTTATTTTTTACTGGTTTAGTCCAGAACTGTTCATGACAAACTCTTCTGTGTACTCACATAATTTTAGGTACTGAAGATAGCATATCCTGAAAGAATTACGAATACGATGAGGGAGACTGAAAATAAATAATACTGATACATAATACAGTCTCAAATGATCTATACAAAATACAATTATCTAGATGTAATTAAATGTTCATTTTATGGATAGGGTGATTCATCGACTGTCATGTACTGAGGGTGAAGTCACAGAAAATCTCTTTAGAAAAGAGGAATATTAGAAATACTACATCTTCTCCCACATAGAAAAAGAGGGTCATTGCTGCGTTGGGTTCTTTCAAAATTCAAATATTAATCATTTTTTTCAATTTTTGTTTAATTTTTATTAAAAGTAATTATTTCTTTTGGTCTTGAAAAGGGGCTTTTTGCATATTTATTTATTTAATTTTTTATTTCTGTAGGTTTTTGGGGAATGGGTGGTGTTTGGTTACATGAGTAAGTTCTTTAGTGGTGATTTGTGAGATTTTGGTGCTCCCATCACCAGAGCAACATACACTGTACCTAATTTGTAGTCTTTTATCCCTCACCTCCCTCCAGCTATGAGGATGCAAAGCCATATATTAAATTTTTAACCCCAGCACCTCAGAATGCAACTGTATTTGGAAATACGCTCCTTAAAGAGGTACTTATGTTAACATGAGGTCACTGTGAGGTGGATTAGATAGGATGGGCATAACCTCCCTTAAAGGGGAACAAACTTGCCAAATAGATGGAGAGGAAAAGCTGCCCAACAGTGCACAAACCACATCGTGGGATCGTCGTTAGAGCATGCTGCAGCAAGGAGGTAGAAGAGCAGAAGGGGAAATCTCCAAGTTCACAAAAGTACAGAAACCCATGATTGATGTCCTTGGGTTGACCTGTTGCTCACTATAACAGTAAAAAACACACCCTTGAGTGGAGACTTAAGATGCTGATGTGACATGTGATGTATGTACTGGCATGTACATCAGTAGCACATGTGCATCCAGAGGACCACCCAGAACATGCTTAACAGCAACAACCCTTCCCACCCACTTCATAAATAATTTTGTAAGCTTTCCATAAAGGGAGATTCCCCGGTGTCAATCAATGCCATCTCACCTTTCAGCAGCCTTCTCTGACAGCTGTCAGAGTGCACTTTCCCTTTGCAGTAAATTCTTTTGCTTACTTTTATTTTGGACTCGCTCTCAAATTCTTTTGTGTGGTGAAGTCAAGAACCTGAACCAGCCCACTGGCTACAACTAGGATGAGCCCTAATCCAATATGCCTCAGAAGAAGAGAAAATTTAAACAGACACACACAAAAGCAATCCCACATGAAGCCACAGGCAGCAGACAGCCAGCTGCAAGCCAAGGAGAGAGACCTCAGAAGAAACTGAATCCTGAAAATTTGAGACAGGCCTCAGTTAATTTAGAACGTTTATTTTGCCAAGGTTGAGGACATGTGCTCATGACACAGCCTTAGGAGGGCCTGATGACATGGGCTCAAGGTGGTCAGAGCACAGCTTTGTTTTATACATTTTAGGGAGACATGAGACATCAATCAACACATGAAAATGAACATTGATTTGGTCCAAAAGGTGGGACAACCCGAAGCAAAAGCGGGACAACTGAAGCAGTATGTGGCTTCCATATCACAGGTAGGTGAGAGACACATGGTTGTATTCTTTTGAGTTTCTGATTAGCCTTTCCAAAGAAGGCAATCAGATACGCATTCATCTCAGTGAGCAGAATAGAATGGGAGGCAGATTTGCCCAACTTGAATTTTCCGGTTAGCTCAGTGATTTTCAGAGCCCAAGATAGTTTCCTTTCACAAAAACAACCCTCATGACAGCTTGATATTGGATGCCTAAACTTCAGAATTGTGAGACAATATATTTATATTGTGAAAGCTACCCAGTCTGTGATAATTTGTTACAGTGACTCTAGCAAAACACAGGGAAGAACAGAATGGGGTCTCATCCCCTCCTCTGTGAAGCCTTGTCCTGCCAGGCCCATCTTCATTGCTTTTGCTATAACGTTCCTGAGCTGCTGCTGTTTTTCCCTTATTTTTATTCAGTTAGCGCTGACAGTTTTTTCCTGCCATATAAGCCTCACGTTTACCATGTTGACACTGAATTATATTATGAAATTATTTGTGGAGCAGGGAAAAGAAACAGTGTCTCAAGACCCCCCAGAATTCTGGTTTTGCCACTTACTCAGTGACACTAATTGAATCTCTTAACAATTTTGAGTTTCCCTGGCTGTACTGGCACATAGAGATACTGCTCAACTTACTAGATGGTTGTCAGGAATAAATACAAGACTACAAGCCCAAGTGTCCGATAGAGTAAGCACTTAACATATTTATATTCTTGAATATGTTGATTCTGAATATCCTGGGGCAGCTTATTCCAGTTTAATGAAACTGAGTTGTGGAAAAAATATCTATATTGAGTCCAAATCTTGCACAGTTACCTTTTACTCTTGAATGTAAGTTCTGCTCAAAGAGCCAACGCACAATATTTCTCTGTAGAGTCAGAAAGTAAATTAAGTAACTATTTTCTCCTTGGTGCTTTGTTTTCATGTTTTTCTTCCAGTTGTTTAGTGTGATGTTCCACTGATTTTAGAGGGACCAAAGCAATTTAGGGGATCAACACTGAGAAATATGGGAGAGCAGAAACAGCCTAGATTCTTCATAGGGTCGATGCTGAGTCTATGTTTTTAAAAATCTAGAAGGATGTGAGTAGAAAATCAAAGGCTTTGTACAGAACCAGATGAAAAGTGGATGGTCAGATAGAAGAAGGTGAGAGATGGCCAGGGAAACCACAGTGAGAGAAAACCAGGCACAATTCTAGAGATGTTTGTATATTAGTCTGTTTTCACGCTGCTGATAAAGACATATCCAAGACTGGGTAATTTATAAAGAAAAAGAGGTTTAATGGACCCACAGTTCCACCTGGCTGGGAGGCTTCACAATCATGGTGGAAGGCAAAAGCCACATCTTACATGGGGGCAGGCAAAAAGAAAAATGAGAGCCAAACAAAAGGGGTTTTCCCTTATGTAACCATCAGATCTCCTGAGACTTATTCACTAGCATGAGAACAGTATGGGGGAAACCACCTGCATGATTCAATGATCTCCTACTGGGTTTCTCCCACAACATATAGGAATTATGGGAGCTACAGTTCAAGATGAGATTTGGGTGGGGACATAGAGCAAAACCATATCAGTTTGTCAACATTACCATTGGCTTTTTCTTCACATCCTCTAATAAAAAGCATAACTTTCCATATTCCCAAGGTAATATTTACCCATTTAAAATATTAGATTCAATTAAATAAAATAAATTTTAAAATACCTATAATTTCATCATAGACAAAGTAACACTACCAGCTCGTTGCAGTCTTTTTAGCCTAAATATATAAATTATTGGTTTAATGCCTGAAATGTTATCATATTGTGTAGAGTCATTTGTAGCCTACTGTTTGGTACTTGAAAATTGAAAAAAAAATTAAACATCTCCACATGTCCGTGCATACTCAACCTTATGTGAGAAATCGGAATTTATTTATATTTTTGGTTGCTCTGCAAATTGGTAGAATCTTTCTACAAGATCATTTGTTAATGCAGGAAAAGCTTAAAGTGACTTGGCCCTTTGACACAGTATGGTTTTACTGATGCTTTAATTTGAACTTCTTTGATGAGAATTTAAAAAAATATATTTTATGTATTTTGTGGCTATTTCCATTTATTATTAATCAAGTGAAATATTCATATACGTTTTCTCATTTTTTCTTTTATGTATTTAAAATTCCTCACTGAGTTTTTTTTACATGTTAAAAATATTGATCCATTATCTGTCATGCATTTTGACAATTTGTTCTTTACCTTTTTATTTTGTAATGTTGGATGATAATACATTCAAGTCCTTTCATAGATTGATGGGTTAATCTAGACCCTTCTTATTAGGAAAAAAAGTGGGTTTGCAGCTTATTGAAAATTAAACAAGAGGAAAAAATTGAAGAAAAAAATAAAGGAAGGAACAAAATATAAGAAGAAATAAATTCCAGTGTAGATCAGG
This sequence comes from Homo sapiens, assembly GCF_000001405.40. Classification (NCBI taxonomy): domain Eukaryota; kingdom Metazoa; phylum Chordata; class Mammalia; order Primates; family Hominidae; genus Homo; species Homo sapiens. The sequence goes on from NC_000008.11 coordinate 136,378,342, forward strand.
ACCAACCTTATTTTATGCTATCATTTCTTGAAGTTTGGACATAAATATAGACAGTGTTTATCAAAAGACAAGAAAAAGATAAATTCCAAGTCAATTTCTTCTTGAAGCTCAATATGTATTTAAATGGTTTGACTAACCTTTGAATTCACTAAATGAGTTAATTGAATTATGTGGTTTCAACCAATGGAGTTTCTACTCATTCATCTCCAGAAGAGTTTGAAAGTATTGAGCCCGTTTACCAGAGGTTAAATGGTGACAGCCTCCGGGATCAATTAGTAGGCCAGCTAATTAGGTGTGATTAATCAGCTCTGAACCATGAATTGTTCTTGTGTAAGTGTTGTCTCTTTAGCTTATGAGCTTTGATGACTAGCTGAGCTGCTTCTGATGGACTGTATACAAAGATAGGCTTTGCCCATATATAGAAATTATGTCCCATGACGGAGATGGAAGAAAATAGCTAGTCTGGAAGCAGCACACCATATCTGTCATTTTCACTTTTTTGCAACATGCCTAACTCCTAGAAATATATTTGGGCAGTCTTGTGTTGAGCATGATAATAATGTTAGTGCTAAAAATAGGGACTTAGTCTATGAATCTGTTTTCACTTAAGAGAAAGTATGTGTAGATGAAAGATAATAAGCATGGAATCTGAAGAGTCTTGGTCCAACTCCTGACTTTATGATTTACCCTTACTCTTAGCCAATAATTTTTATAATACTTCTTTGAGGCTTATCACTCGTACCCAAGCTCTATATATTCCACTAAGCCTTCTTCTAACTCCATTTCCCTAAATAGGGCTAATTTTCAGGTAGTCAAAAATAACCAACTGAAAAATAATTGCCATTGTTTAGGAGTGACTTTTTTTCCTCTAGGGCTTTCTAAGCTATTTTTGCCCTCAGTGACTTAAAATGATGTTGAGGAGACACCATTCAGCCTCAGGAAGAACAATAGAAAATCACCAATCACTGACACTTGGTCTGTAAGACATCAGTTCAAAGTCATCTCCATTAAGTTCCATCCATTTATCTTTGTTTTGTTGCATTTGCTTTGGGTTTTTGGTCATGAACTCTTTACCTAAGCCAATGCCTAGAAGAGTGTTTTTTTGATGTTATCTTCTAGAACTTTCATGGTTTCGGGTCTTAAATTCAAGGCTTTGATAATTCTTGAGTTGATTTTTATATAAGATGAGAGATGAGGATCCAGTTTCATTCTTCTACATGTGGAGTGTCAATTATCCTATGCATCCAACAAAGGACTAATATCCAGAATCTACAAGAAATGGAAACAAATCAGCAAGACAAAAACAAATAATCCCATCAAAAATTAGGCTAAGGACATGAATAGACAATTCTCAAGATATGCAAATGGCCAACAAACATCTTAAAAATACTCAATATCACTAATTATCAGAGAAATGCAAATCGAAATGACAATGCAATACCACCTTACTCCTTCAAGAATGGCCATATTTAAAAATAAAAAAAAATATGTTGGCATGGATGTGGTGAAAAGGGAACACTTTTACACTGTTGGTGGGAATGTAACTAGTACAACTACTATGGAAAACAGTGTGGAGATTCCTTAAAAAACTAAAAGTAGAACTATCATTTGATCCAGAAATCCCACTACTGAGTATCTACTCAGAGGAAAAGAGGTCATTATACGAAATAGACATTTGCACATTCATGTTTATAACAGCACAATTTTCAATTACAAAAATATGGAACCAGCCTAAATGCTCATCAACCAACGAGTAGACAAAAAAATGTGGTAGGTCTAGGACTGGTGGCTCATGCCTGTAATCCCAGTGCTTTGGGAGGCCGAGGCAGGTGGATCACCTGAGGTCAGGAGTTTGAGACCAGCCTGGACAACATGGCGAAACATTTTCTCTACTAAAAGCACAAAAATTAGCAAGGCATGGTGGTGCATGTCTGTTGTCCCTGCTACTCAGGAGGCTGAGGCAAGAGAATTGTTTGAACCCGGGAGGCAGAGGTTGCAGTGTGCTGAGATAGTGCCACTGCACTCCAACCTGGGAGCCTGGGTGACAGAGTGAGACTCCACCTCAAAAAGAAAAAAAATAAAAAATCATGTGGTACATATATACCATGGAGTACTACTCATCCATAAAAAGAAATAAAATAAGGATGGAGTTGGGGACCACTATTCTAAATGAAGTAACTCAGGTATTAAAAAGCAAACACACATTGTATGTTCTCACTTATCAGTGGGAGCTAAGCTATGAAAACACAAAGGCATAAGAATGATACAATGGACTCTGGGGACTCAGGAGGGAGGGCAGGAGGGGGCTAAGGGGTAAAGGACTACACGTTGGGTGCAGTGTACACTGCTCAGGTTATGGGTGCACCAAAATCTCAGAAATCACTACTAAAGAACTTATCCATGTAACCAAACACCACCTGTTCCCCAAAAACTATTGAAATAAAAATAAAAAATAAATAAAAAACAAACTCATCACCAATGCAGGAGCTTCTCTGATGTTCTCCATTACCTTGCTTCTTCCAAGCAGTAAATTTAGAGACCTGCCTTTATCCGGTATTTGTCCTTGGCTATGACATTCCTTCATCACCCCCTATATGCACGATCAGTTGCCACGTTCTATTGATTCAATCTTCTAAAATCTCTGGAATCCACTTGTCTCATGTTTATCGGGACCCCACCGCCACCCCCCACCTTACAGGTACCATTATACTTATTCTCACTCATATTATTGCAACAGCCTGTTTTCTCTGCCTCAATATTTGTGCCCTGACATACATTTTTATCATTTCCCAGTTAGGGGGATTTCTACTAAAATAGATACCAGATGATGTCACTTTTTCCTAAAATCTTTTAGGAGTTACCCATTACACAAAGAGCAGAATCCCATCACCCTAGCAAATCTTCAGTCCTGTCGTGTGATTCAACAAACTTACATTTTCTGCCAATTGACCTTCATAATACATCATTTGTGTAATCATGTGTCTTGCAGTTCTCCAGTCCATCAGTTCTATGTCCTTATAAAGAATGCCTGCTAGCTTGGGTACTGGTCTTTCAGGACCTTCTGCTATGAAGTTTTCACCAGCTACATTAGGTGTCATTTCTCCCAGCTCCAGTGACATTCAATCATACCTCTATTTTTAGGGCTTATGCACATTTAGGGAATGTGGTTGTCAAATGATGTAAAAAAAAACTTGAGAAAAGGGATCACATTTTTATTCCTATGTCTCCAGCTGAGCACATTATCTGCTTATATTAACTGCTCAGAACAGGTGTATTGAACATGTGAATCAATCAATGAATGAATTTTTTTCCTCCTTTGATTCTCAATTGCCTTTGACTTACTGTTGTCTCACCATGCGATGATGCTTAGGATGCTGATCTCTACATATGCCTATCTTTCTGGTAGAATGGCCAAATTCTAAGGACTTTTGTTTGAATTATTTTTATATTCTTCATAATACATTCACAATATATGACACATAATAGGAACTCTAAAAATTGTTGAGTAATCCATAGATCCATTGATTTATTTATTTACTTGTTTACTAATGGAATATTTTGAATACCCATTGCTCATTGTATTAACCCATGTTTCCTAGAAATGGAGCCCATGGCGAAAACTTGCATGTTCACTCTGTATTTGTGAATACAACCCTAGGAAAGTGATAGCAAAAAGTGAGCGAGTCAGGGAGGAAGGGAGAATCAATAAAATGATGTACGTTTCTGAATTGCTCACAGATTCCCCACAAGCACAACTGATGGCAAAGCCTCACAGAACATCTTCAGAGGGTATTATATATGTGTGTATGTAATATTTGTATTATATATTTGTGTATGTGTGCTTGTGTGTGTATTTACCCCAATGTAAATTTAGGAATTAGGTGTGAGTATAGATTACAAGTGTGTTACCCCAATGAGAATGGGGCACAATATTAGTCCAGGACAAATTCATTGATATGGAGTCACTTAGCAGAGATTCTGGATTTCATATATTAATTTGTGTGGCAGTAAGTGGCTTGAAAACTCACTTGTTCAGAGGCAAAACTTCCTTGACATGATGTGAAAGAAGGAATCTATTATCTGTAAGAAATAAAAATGTTCTAGTTGATTTACCATATGCAATCTGAACCCTTGTCTCTTAACTATATTCTTTGAGACAACCCAGGAGACATTCTTTTCACTGAGACATAGAAAAACATATTAGAGTGTAGAGCAATTTCATTTTTGAAATGCTCTGCTATGATTTGAATGTTTTTGCCTCCTCCAAAATTCATGTTGAAACTTAATCCTCAACGTAACAGTCCTCCAGTATTGGGAGGTGTGGCCTTTGGAAGGTGATTGAGCCATGAGAGCTCCACCCTCATGAATGGCATTAGGTGCCCTTACAAGTGAGCTTGACAGAGGGAATTCACCTTTTTTTTTTCTCTGCCCATTCAGTCTCTTCTGAGGTGTAAGAACACAGCACTCTTCCCCTCTGAAGGATGTAGCAACGACATGCCATCTTGGACACAGACCCAGCTCTCACCCAACACCAAATCTGCTTGTGCCTTGATCTTGGACTTACAACCTCCAGAACTGTGAGAAATAAATTTCTGTTTGCTATAAATTACCCAGTCTTAGGCATTCCATTATTGCTTCGCAAATGGACTAAGGTGCTTCTCTTCATTGGGTCACATTGACCAGAGGAGATGGTTCCATTAACATAGATCCACCTAATTTCAGTGGGGATGATGGGATACCAGGCTGGGAAAGATGAGGTGGCAGCACTAAACCCCTAAAACCAAGGTAGGCACAGTTAGTGTAAAACCAGCAGGAAAACAGTGGTGAATCACTGTGTCTTTGGTCACTGTTTCCCCATAAATGAAACAGGTAGCCTACTGGAGTATCACTTTACACTTATAGCGCAAGGCTTTCTAGGTCTGGAAGCCAAAAACCGGACTCAAAGTTGCAACAGTGTAGAGTCATAGCCCTTTGCAAGTTTTTAATCTAAACTGGTTCAAAGACTTGATCATATTAAGAAAATATCCCCTAGCAGTTTCACAGTGTGTAATGTTAAATAATATTCCAAGTCTTTCCTGTAGGGACCTGAAGCCATTTTCTACAGTGGCTACAATGGGAAAACAACTAAACATGGGTTGAAAATTGACCCTAATTCCTGGGAACCCAAAATGCTAATTTGCCTGACCAAAGTGGATACTTATTGCAATCATACGATAAATTAAATATTAGCTGAAGTTAAAATTACAGGATCTTGGTGACTTTATTATATCAATATATGGTTATATTCCTAATTTCTAAATTAATAATTGGCACAGACATACTTGGAAATCTGTAGAAACCCCATTTTGGCTTTTTCACCTGTGGATAGTGGCCATTACAGTAAGGAAGGGGTAAGAAAAAGATTATGTAGCTTTCTCTTTGTAGTGATGTTAATTATGGTAATGCATGTTAATCTAGGAGCAATATTTTATTTTCATGGAAATTGCAAAGGATCAAATACCTGAAATATGCAAGATTATAAAACCATATGATATTCTCACTTAATTTGCCTCTTTGGCCTGTGCAAAGTTGAATGTGTCTTGAAAAAAACTTTAGCACCAATATACCCAAGTTATGAATCCAATCGCAGCTGATACTACATATATAGTATAATTGGGAAGCAAATCAAAATAGTCCCTTTCAAAATGCAGCTGTTGGCCTAATGGTTTTTCTCCCTTTGTAATTTTCAAGGAGCATCAGAAGCAGTCTGATAGTATATACCAGATCTAATAGTATACCTTTTAGAATCTTGTTACAGGACTGGACCAACTCTTCTTTTCTCTGCCTAATATAGTCTGCGGAGTTATTGACCATTCTGACATTCCAAGCATCATCATACCAATCCTCCACATCTGTGCTACTATGGATCTGATGAGCAGAATTATATTAAATGCCTTGGTAGTACTTACAAGAACCAGAGAAACAGAGAGAATTTGAACAAAATTTCAAGGGTCCACTACTTCAGTGAAATTCCTAGAAGTCGAATAGTCAAGAGCATGTAAAGATAGCTCTTCAAAGATAATAGGCAAGTTGCTACCTTTTGAACCATCTACCCCAAAAATGAAAAGAAAAAGGATGCACAAGCATTACTGCACCTTTTTTCTGGATTTTAGAGGCAGCACATATCATATTTAAGTGTGTTTCTGTGGCCAATCTTTAGAGTCACCCATAAACTTACCAGACATCAGTTATAAACAGAATTAAGAGAAGGCTCTGTACCAAGTCTAAGCTTCAATGCAAGCTTTTCTCCTAACTGGAACTTAAGATCCAGCAAAGCGAATGGTACCCAAAGTGTCTGTGGTTTGGTAGAGGTGGTATATTTAACCTCTCGAAAGAACCGATAGGAAAATCACACAGCAAGCCTCTATGGTTTCTAATAAATCCATGCCGTCTTCTATGGATAACTATTTATATTTTATAAACAGCCCTCGGCTTGCTACTGGGTCATAGGAGAGGCTGAATACTTAATATGGGACATCAGATATGGCCGTGTAAGCTGAGTTTCTTATCATGTTCTTGTTGTTATTTGACTCACCAAACCATAAAGTTGAGTGTATGAAAAAAAAATTATCAAGGGGAAAATAGTGCACAGGAAATTAGGCTTCAGCTGGTCTAAAGGGCACAAGAAAGTTATTTGCACAGATAAAGTCAGCTCCTTCGAAACAGATAACCACAACATTACCTGTTCTCATTTAATTTCTCCTTATATGACCTGGTGTGGAAAAACTCAGACTTGTTTTACTGATGGTTCAGCCCAATATTCTAGCACAAACATGAATAACTGCAGCCCAACAACCCTACTTCAGAGTTTCCCAGTTTGACAACCTCCCCAGGAGACAGAATTTCAAGTGATACATTAGATTATCTATTTTGTCTAGACAGAGATATAACCATAAATATAAATTTGCATGGATTCTTAAGCAGTTGATAACTTGAAATTGCTTGAGCACATTGGATCCTATTCATTATGGAGGAGCAGAGATTTGTCTTTTCTGGAATATACATATATTCTGGATATGGATTTGCCTTTACTAGTCATAGTGCTTCTTCTAGAATCACCATATGTGGAACTCTAAGGCTGTCTCATTCATGATTATGACAATCCACACAGCATTACTTCTGATCCAGAGAGTCAATTCACAGCAAAGTATGTTACTGGGTTTATGGCCATGGAATTAAGTGGTCATACTATACACCCCGTTATCCAGAAGCACTGGTGGAAAAAGAAGATGGACTTGCTTACTGAAGATTCAATTATCCTGCCAATTTGAAGATACCATACTAAAAAGATCAAGTTCTATATTACAGGGCATAGTATACTCTTTAAAATAAATTCAATCAGCAGTGTATGGTGATTTCTTTCATATAGCTAAAATCAATGGAGCTAGAAAAATGGTATATTTTGGGTGGCTTCTCTCTTTATTATACTTGATAACCCCTTCACAGAATTTTTGGTTCCCATCCTGGAAACTTTCAGATATGATGGTTGGAGGCCTTAGCTCACAAGGGGAAAAATGTTTCTAACAGGAGATACAAAAACAATCTCAATGAATTGAAAGTTTAGACCTATCTCTGATTATTTGGGGATCTTTGTGTTACTGGACTAATAGGGAAAAATGGGTGTTAGGATGCTGACTGGAGTAGTTGATCCCAATAATAAAGAGGAAACTGGGTAGCTGCTACACAATGGAGACAAGAAGGCTATATCTGGAATCTACAGAATATTCTTGGATTCTCTTAATATTTCCATTGCCAATAGTAGAAGGTAATGGAAAATTGCAAGAACCAAAATAAGGCAAGACCAAAAATCATTCAGGCCCTTCAGGAATAAAGTTTTGAATCATTCTACTAATGAAGAACTTTGACCATCTGAATTCCTGGCTAAGGGTGGTGGGAATATGGAATGAGTACTGGAAAAAAGAAAGCTATCAACTATGACCTCAGAGGCAACTGCAAAAACAATAACTATAAGCAATTTGCACATTTTCTCCTTGACTGTATGTGTATATATATATATATATATATATATATATATATATACACAAACACACATACATATACATATTTTACATATATAATATGTAGAAATATATATTATATATATTTTATTATATATTTATTATATATATTTTATGTATATTTTATATTTATTATATATATTTTATGTATATTTTATATATATTATATATAAATATATAAATATTATATATATTTCTACATATTAACTATTGTTTATATTTCTACATGTTAAATATTTTCTCTTTTTCCCCCTGTAATTTTATACGAATTGTATTAGTCCATTTCCCACCCCTATAAAGAACAGCGTGAGACTGGGTAATTTATGAAGGAAAGAGGTTTAATCGATTCACAGTTCCTCATGGCTCTGAAGGCCTCATGAAACTTACAATCATGGTGGAAGGCGAAGGGGAAGCAGGTACCTTCTTCACAAGGCAGCAGGAGAGAGAGAGAGAGAGAGAGCCCAGGGGAAATTGCCACTTTTAAACCATCAGATCCCATGAGAACTCCCTCATATCATGAGAACATCATGGAAGAAAACAACCCTCATGATTTAACCACCCCTCACCAGGTCCCTCCCTTGACACATGGGGATTACAATTCGAGATGAGATTTGGGTGGGGACACAGCAGCAACCATATCACAAGTTTTCTACAGGTTAAATTTCACATTATTATTTAGTACCAGAATATTTATTGGCACTGTGATTAATTTTGAGAAGTAAATAATATAGCCAGCAATTAATACAATGACTGTCTGGAATGTGTGTTTTCTCATTTGGGGGAGAATGTGTGAGCCTGGACACTTCTATAGAGGTTAGCTGCCTCTTGTAAAGTAAAAACATTGATTTTTTTTTTAAAATAGAAAGCATGTGTAGAAGAGTACTCATGGATGCTAAGTCAACCAAAGGATGGACTCTGAGGTTTATTAATTTACTGATTCTCAGTTCCATACTCCCTCTGCTTCTCCTTGTTTGTGATATTGGAAGTAGACTCTGCAGACTGTATTTTTTCTTGCGTGCCATAGCAGGTTCTAGGAGGACACTTCAAGGCAAGGAAAGGGAGAGCATGTGTTCGAGTCTTCTGTGTAGTGGCAAGGGGATCTAATGCAGGGATCCCGACAGCCTTTGTCATGGTGGTAGGCTGCTCTTGAGATTAGCTGAGGGGTGTCCAGGTCATTTCTTCATTACCACATTGGCAGGAATTCTTGGACCAACACACTATCTCATTTCTTGTCTCCACACCAGTGGGCAATGTGTTTCTGTGGCAGCTGTGCCTCTTGTTGTAGGGCTGAATCTCAGTCTTGCATTTCCCCAGGGCTGAAGGAAAAAGAACCAAGGAAGAACGTTAGAAACTCTCAGTATTATATTTAGTAACCCCTTTATTGTCTCTCAGCTCCAAACCAACTGTGCTTTGCCTTGCTTGTGATCCTGGAACCAGATTCCAAAGACAGCATTTCTCCCTTGCCGTTGCAGACGCTAGAGGGAAACTACAGGACTAGAAGAGGAAGAAAATGTTTCTGTTCTCAATAGTTATGAATTCCTCGCACCTTAGAATTTTATTTTTCCTTTTTTTATAATTAAGTGTGATTAGGAGCTCAATGTATGTGCCTTTCCCACAATATTCCCAATATTTGTATGTTGAACTTTGAATCCCCTGTGTGACTGTATTTGGGGTAAGGAATAATTAAGGTTAAATGAGATCATAGGGTGGTACTCTGATCCTTCTAATGGAATATGATTCGTTTCATCATAAGAAGAGACACCAGAGAGCTCCCCTCCAGCCCCTCCACACTCCACCATGCACATACACACCATGAAAAGACCATGGGCAGGGACAGAGGCAGCTGTCTGTAAGCCAGGAAGAGAGCCCTCACCAGCAACTGGATCTGCCAGAATCTTGACCTTGAACCTCTAGCCTCCAGGCTGTAAAAATATATGTATATTTCTGTTGTTAAAGCCACCTAGCCTATGGTATTTTTTATGCGGCTAGAGAAAACTAATACAAATACCTTTGATCTAACTAAAAGTATTTTTGTTAAATTTTTGTCTGTTAAAATTGAACATGCAGTTTCTATCTTCTGAGTGGATATTGGCAGATACAGGCAAAGGTAGTCGTGGGAAGGATGGAGAGTCAATTTATCTGTGTGTTCTCTTTTTTTTTGGGTGGGCTGGTAGGGGTAGTCTGAGTCTTGCTCTCTGTCATTCAGGCTGAAGTGCAGAGGCACAATCTCAGCTCATTGCAACCTCCATCTCCCAGGTTCAAGTGATCCTCCCACCTCAGCCTCCCAAGTAGCTAGGATTACAAGTGTATGCCACCACACCCAGCTAACTTTTGTATTTTTAGATGGGGTTTCACCACGTTGGCCAGGCTGGTCTTGAACTCCTGACCTCAAGTGATCCAACTGCCTCAGCCTCCCAAAGTGCTGGAATAACAGGCATGAGCCACTGTGCCTGGCCTGTGTGTTCTCTTTTATGTTTTTCATTGGTCAAAGTTCTTAACACTTGAGGATTAGTTCATGGGAAGTTATATCTCCACATGTCTTTGAAGTATCTCCTATTTCCTACAGAAGCCTTTGGGTAAGCGATAGTACTCAGACCTAGTATTGATGGGAATAATTAGAATCCTAGTTGTTATCTCAGAGCTGTGCCTTTGTATCAGCTGGGATAAGTCACATTTACATTGGGTTGCCTCAATGTTGACTAATCTAGTCCCTGTAGAATTGGTCACCATGGTAGTGGTGGGGGCTTAACAAGAGTCCAAAGAGGACCTTGGGCAGGAGAAGCCAAGGAGATAAACTCTGATTTGGATGAAGGGAATAAAGATATGTGACATAATGTATCTGAAGCTTTCAGGAAAAAGTGAAAATATTAATAGATTTTTCTTCCCATGGTTCACTCTCTCTTGCAACATTTGATCAGCTATCCCTGTCTGTATGCTTTCTCTCTTTCTTCCTTCCATTGTAGCTAGTACTGTGATATCACATTTTTTTTCCTAGTGAGGTAATCTCGATCTGCTTGAAAGACTATCTAAAATTACGATGGGAAGCCAATATATACAAACTTAAAAGTAGGATGCATGGACCAGATTTGTTCTAGGATTTAACATTTTGTCTTCTTTTATTTACTACCACCCTAAGAAAATAAAATTCTGAGCCTGTCTGTTCAAGATTGAGATGTGAGTCTTGTAGAATAACCCCAACATTCAGGCAGCCTGACTTGATTCTCATCAGGGCAAAGGAGGCTTCTGTTTCATCCAACTCTCCAGAGCTACAGACACCAAATAAAAATATAGGGGTGAGTCCAGAGGTAATAATAATTATGAAAAAAAGAGAATCATGTGTATGTCTCTTCTGACTTTAACAACAAGGAATTGGAGATTAAAACTCCTAACAAAATAGCTTTAAAAAATAGATATAACAAAGACATACTTATGTGTCATGCACAGTGCTAGGGACACCAACAAGATGAGATATAGTTCATTTTCTTTGTGCTCAAGAAAGTGATAAACACTGTATACATCAGAATAAAATACATTATTACAAAAGCATAAAAAGGGGTATAATAGCATTTTGTGGAAACGCAGATGCAGAATATATCATCTGTTGTAGACAATTGCTATTTTTTTTGCCTACCCAGTCTCCGTTTTCTCTTCTGGTGATATCGCTCCGATTTCCTTTTGAAAACTCATACTCCCTTCATTCTCAATCCACATGTGTTCATTGCCCTTATCCAAGCTCCTGTGTGGTTATGTGATCCAAGTTGAGCCAATGAGAGTTCATAATGAGATTTGTCTGAGCTTCAGAAAAGAGAAACACTCTCTTTTTCTCCTCTCTCCTTTTTTCTTTTTCTTTTTGTTTTTGTTTTACTTCTTGTAGTGAAGAAAGTTCTAAGGACTACTGAAACTGCTGATAACCAGTTTTTTCACCATATGGAAAGATCCTATCTATACAATGTGGCTTCTACAATGGCAAGACAAGGACCTAGTTGGAGAAAGAGAAACAGAGACCATGTCTTTGCAGCCCTTAGATCTAGCCATGACTGAAGTTATATTTAACTTGGAAATCCTCAGTTGTGTGAGCTAACAATGTCACTTTTTTGTTTATTCCAATTTCTGTTTGGTGTATTTGTAACATTTCAATAAAAATACTATAATCAATATATAATTCAAACAATAAAACCATTATCTTTAATTCTACCTGTGTATCAGAGTTAGCTGGAAAAGAAAATAGTAATGATAATTATTATAATAAAATACACATATCTGGATCTTAAGTCATGCAGACTAACTCTGCAGTTCCAATGTGCAACACACTTTCTCTCAGTCTCATGCCTAAGCTTCAACATGTCTTATGTATTTCTTTTCTCTCCGTTGTTCTTCTGCCTTCAGTATAAGAACAGGCACATCATAGCCTTTGGGAGAGATTAGACATCTGGAACAGAGCTGAGTCAGCCTGGTTATCTCAGTTGAGACTTTAGACATTTGAGAAAGACCAACATAAGAAAAGCTGCCTACTTAACCTGCAGCTAACCAAAGATGGATGAGTAAGTTCTGCCAAGCCCAACTTAGATCTATCAAACCACCATGCTAACCCATACATTTTTCAGCAAACATAAGTAACTATTATTTTAAGCCAGTAGGTTCTGGGGTATTTTGTTATGCAGCAATAGCTAACTGATACACTCAAACACATTTCCACAACTTGCATAAGTTATATATCTCAGACTCATACCCTAGTTCTATGGTACCAGAGCCCATGAGCTTTTCCAACTTACTATTACCTTGGTTCTTCCCTGCTGAGCCTTTTATTCATGAATTTTTAAGGACATAATCTTTCTGTGAAGTATAGAACTCTGAGGTTTATTTTCTTTTTCAATGGAGATTATCTAATTTCCTTTCAAAGTCTCTTCTTAACCTCATCAGCACTTGTCATCTGTGCTTACCATATCAAGTGGTTCTGCATTACTTGTGCAATTCCACTATGCAGGCCAGAGATGAGCATCCCTGAAATAAATATGCTGCCAAGAGAGTTTATCTGTCAAGAGAGGTTTGCTCCAAGTTTCTGAAATACAAAGGGACATCCTGATTTAAAAACAACAGATATGCTACGTGGGTATGCTCAGGAAACTCTTGGTTGACTCAGAGAGCTATTTATGCCATATACTATTTTTTTGTAACTATTTATAATTTAGAGGGAAAATTGGGAGGAAGGGAAAGGATTTAAAAGTTTTTGAGCTCTTCTATTGAACCAAAAATATGTACATGCACTATTTTATTGTCACAAAACCTTATGAAATATGAAGTATGTATTATTCATACATCCCAAAGTTAAAAAAAATTTAGTTTAGTAGAAGTTAAATATTGTATTAGCGTTCTCCAGACAAACATAACCAACAGGAGATAGATGATAGATAGATAGATAGATAGATAGATAGATAGATAGATAGATAGAGATAATTTATAATGGCTCACACAATTATGTAGGCTGAGAAGTCCCACAGTGTGCCTCCTATAAGGTGGAGAACCAGGAAAGCTAGTAGCATGGCTTAGTCTAAGTCTGAAGGCCTGAAAACCAGGTAACATAACTTTCAGTTAGAAGCCAGAGGCCTGCGAACCCAGAGGGCCATTGGTGCACATCCCAGAGTCCAAAGACTGGAGAACTTGAAGTACATCTGCTGTCTAAGGGCAGGAGAAGATAGATTTTCCAGCTCCAGAAAAGAGAGCAAATTTACCTTTCTGCCCTTTTGATCTATCCAGGCCTCCAATGGATTGGTTGATGCCTGCCCGTATTAGATAAAGGTGAATCTCCCTCAGTCCACTGATTGAAGTCCCAATCTTTTCCAGCAACTCCTTTCCAGACATACCCTGAAATAATGTTTGCCCAGCCGTCTGGGTATCTCTTAGTCTAGTCAAATTGACAACTACAATTAATCATCATAAATATCATATAAAATACTCAGCTTGTACATAAATAAAGCTGGGATTTGAAGCATAGGCCTTCACATTGCATGGCAGTATAAAATCCAAATTTGGTATGATTAAGACTAACAGAACAAGTAACTCACACTTCTAACTAGTTTTATAACCTTGGAACAAGCTGATGTAGTCATTTATTTTTTATTTTTATTTTTTATTTTACTTTAAGTTCTGGGATACATGTGCTGAATGTGCAGGTTTGTTACATAGGATATAACCATTTTTCTCATCTGTTAAGTGAAGAAGGAACTGGCCCAATTTATTTTAGGCTCAAAACTGCTTTATCCAATACTGTCAACAATAACTTTAAAAGAGATATATTCACAGTCCCCAGGGATGCAAATTCAAATTTCATATAATTTATTTTCATTTTAAAAAACTATAAAATTTAATCCTCTTTACTTTTTCCTATGATATTTCATCACCCACCATTGTTTGAAACAAAGTGGAATAGTTGTTCAGCATTTCCAGAACAGATGTAATCAGAAAGAAAAAAGCTAGTACTGAGGCACGACAACTCTCTACAAACACATTTTTTATCTGGAATGTGATCCATGTGTCCCTGAAGGGCAGGGAATACCTGATATCTACTAAAAGGCAAACAACTAATCTTAAAGGTGATTTTCAGAAATCTTTGTTCTGGTATAGTGAAATATTTTCTCAGGCTTTATCATTACTTAATATTGTAAAATGTCATTACGTATGAGAAGAAATTACAAAATCCCTTATATTCATTCTTAGCTAGATGCCCATAGATTATTTTTCATTATTTAATCAGTGGCTTTCCTGCTTGACTTTCTATACGCTTTGCACTGCATTTGGAGATGGACTTCAACATTTAGGTTTACAGCCAAGTCTCCCCTTACCCAAGGCTGTGACGTTGGGCAAACTGTTTCCTATCTAGTGGTGTAGTGCTAGTAATAAGACCTACTGAAAGGTGTTGCAGCCAAAGAGGTAAATAAACATAAAAAGCTTGGCATACAGCAGACCGTAGATGCTCAACTGAGTCTGCTCAATTGCTCATTTTTGGGAGAGAGAGTCAAGTGAAAGTGAGTTTAGATCCAAATTATATCTTCTACTTCCTATGGCAAACTCAGCAACTCATTTCTCTGTTTTGATATAATGTCTTCATTTGCAAGATGGGTTGTTAAATTCTCTACAGTTATTCTGAGAATTAGAAACCATACATATACATACTGAGTTTTAGAACTTGGATGGCCCAAAGGATGTGATGAAATTAAAAAAAAAAGGTACCTCTTATAATTAGATCCTCTAGTGTAGCAATACCTTCATTTCTGAGTCTTGAGGCTAAAAACCTAGAAGATTTTCCTACAGAGAAACTTCACTGGAATCAGTGCAGCATTCACTTTTAAATATTACAACAAAGGAGCACATAGGGCTGACTTCATTGCACTAGCCTTCAAAACAATTAGGCATAATGGTAAATCAGGGTAAACTACATTTCTGAATTTATCTACAGTGTAATAAATAACATCTGCATCTGCAGGGGAACAATTTACAGTGTTCTGCGAAACACAACACGGTAGTGATCAGATTCTCTTCCATCCCTTATGTAATATTTCTTTATTATTTGGTAAATCTTTCTTTTTTAGAGTCATGCCGGCAGTAGTAGGAGCCTTTGCTGTCCTACTGTCTAAGTACTTCGTTTCATAAAGGAAGACTCTTAGGAGTAGAGCACTATGTTACCGACCCGAGGTTTCCCAGGTAGAATGGAGCAAAATTGGGCCCAGAATGTGGGAAGTACGGCTGATTAACATCCCTCTCATTATATCATACACTTCAGTGAAAACTGGACTCTCAAGTTTGGAGGGGATCTAAAAACATATCTCATGCTTTCTTCTTTTCAGTTCATGAATCTTCTCTGGATTACCAACAAAAGTGGCCATTAAGCCTTTTCTTGACTATCTTCAGTGAGCCAAAATGTACTACCTCTGGGAGCTAGACTTCCAGTATTAACAGAAAATGAACACGTATTGGTAACAGAACTTTATCAGAAACAGAAACAAATAAATCTGGGCTCCTCAGAATTCCAGAATCCACTTCAGATGTTGAGACTCCTAACTGTTGTTATATAAAGATTTGATAAGGAAGCCTAAAGGCAAATAGTTTTAGTAAAGCAACACTTTTACATTAGTGAAAGCCATGAAAAGTTTTATTAAA
This sequence comes from Homo sapiens, assembly GCF_000001405.40. NCBI lineage: Eukaryota > Metazoa > Chordata > Mammalia > Primates > Hominidae > Homo > Homo sapiens. The sequence continues at coordinate 136,394,553 of NC_000008.11, forward strand.
AAATTGAAAATCCAAAGACATAAATGTATATTAAATTTAAACTAAAGATTTTTTTTTTATTTTAGTTTAAGCATATTAAAATGCCTTCGGTAGAGTTTGGTTTGCTATTTGAATTATTAGGTTCATCATATTTCAATTAGAGTAATTTAGAATCTAATATATACCTGGCACTCTGCTATTGGCTTTATAAACGGCATCTCATTTTCAATATTTATCTCTTCCAAAAATGGAAAAAAAAAGTCACTTTTTAATTGTCCTCGTATCTGGGATGATGTGAACCAGTGGTCTCAAACTTGAGCATGCATCAGAATCACTGGAAGAATTGTTAAAACAGATTGCTGGGCACCACTCCCAGAGTTTCTGTTTCAGTGGGATGTGGGTGGAGTCAGGGAATTTGCATTTCTAGTAAGTTCCCAGGTGATGCTGATGCTTTTGGTCCAGAGTCCCAAGTTTCAAAACTGCCACTGTAAGCCATAAGCTTTCAATACAAAAAAGAGTAATAAAAGTTCATCTAATTCAGTTTACCAGCTAGGTAATGTTGAGCAAATTAATTTTGCAGAAGCTCACTTTTATTATTTTTCAAAGTAAAAATAATATTTCAGTTTGAAATTGTTTTCGATGATTACCATAGAGAAATGTCATTTTTAAGACAACTATTATTATTATTTTTTTGCTTTCCTTCTCCTCTTCTGAAATCAGAAATTACATGTGTATGCCATTGAACACAGATGATGTAAAGACTTTTTTGTTAATATCTTAACGGTGTGAAGCACTGGGAAAAACAAGTACCTAGAATCAGATTTAGGTTCAAAAACTGTTTCTAGCTTTATTACTTTGGCTGCATTAAATACCATCTATTAGCTGCAATAACCCTCATCCCCCACCCACGAATTAGGGATAATTTGGCACTTCTGCTAGCTTCAGCTAAAAGAGCCTTTCCACCTGAATGCCTGAGAGGCATCTCAAGCTCAATGGAAACTCACCTCATTACCTTTCTCCTAAAGTCTTGATTTTAGTAGGTTGCAACAAAATACATCCAGATATTTAATCGAGAAATTTTGAGGTGACAATTGGTTCTTCTACCTCAGCCATATTTACCCAGTTGAACATTTGCAATTTCCTTCTAAATGTTTCTCAAACATTCTTTTCAAGTCTTTGTTCAGCTATTGACCATCTCTCACTGAGTCCATTGCAAGAGCCACTGAAGTTGAGAGTTGTCATTGTGTGAGACAATCCAACACATAAATCCCTCTTTTGTGTTTAGAAAATCCTCCTATTCTTAACCAGTAAGCTCCAGGTAAGCTCTTTCCCATCTTGCCTTACTGATGGGTCCCAGGATCTACTAATTAGGTGCTCCCAACTTGATCAGAAGCTAGGAACACCAAGAAGCAAGAACCCTGCCAGACTGATTCCGGTGGTGAAAGTAGTAGCAGTGGTCTCAACCATTTCCTAGAGGAATGGTTATCTGTGGTTCTAGTGGAAGAGTCTATGCTCAGTATCTAAGATGGTACAGAACCCAGTTCTGCCATGATAGTGATGAAATCTCTGTGTTTTCCTGGGATTGATGGGGCTCCAAGGATATGAGATTCTCAGTTTTAAATCTAGAGACAGTCATGGCAAACTAGGATAGAGTCTGGAGGTATATTGGTACTTTGTTCCTGACTGCTGACACTCAAGCCTAAGTCTCTGAACCTTCCAGAAATGTATTAGATACTTTAGGATCCTTTAATAAGTATATTTTCTGCTTACATTTACCAAATAGTTCGTTGTTTGCAATTAAGAATGTGGACCAGTGTCACTTCCTACTTTGCCCCCGACCTTCAGATAAAGTTCTTTCTTTCTAAAGTTCTGACTTCTGTCAGAACAGTCTCTATAGCACCCACAATTGTCCAGGTGGGCCCTAAATCCAAGAGATAACCACCCCTCACTTACTGACTCGCACCCACATCTCACAGCATTGCCCTGGTGGAGATGTGCAGATGCAGCTTGCCTTTCCAGCTTCATCTCTCATGAGCAGGGACTATCCTTCCATTGTGTGAGTCTTGTCTTGTTGATTGAGTCTTTGAAGGATTTTCTGTTAAAGGGTGGAAGTTGTTGCAAGCAGATGTTTTTTGCATGAGTTGATTTATAGATTTTTTTTCTTGAATTGTACCAGTTATGCTTGGATGCGTATTAAACTTTGAAAAATTTATAGCACAGCAATTTTAAAAGCAGCATTTCTTATTTTTACACCTGGACTCCCACTCCTTGCAGCACAGCAAGGATTTGTGGTATCATAGCAACAAATAAATAAATAATTATCTAAAACAATGCCTGTTCATACTTAGGATTTTTAAAAGTAGGTTCATTTAGCAGCTCATTCCTTAGGGGTGTATTCCTCTGCTGAAGACACACAATGGAAGGAAAAAAAAAAAGGAAAGAATAAAGCCTGTTTGAAAACAGGAAAACTTGAGATTTTTAAATAAGTAAAGACAAAGGAAGAATGATCCCTGGGTTCCAAATGATTCTTCAATTATAAAACATGCCACTGGCTTTGAAAACTGCAGCTAAGGGTTATTGTGCCACAGTTGCACCTCAGGGTTTTGAGTGCTTTGATATCATTATCATTTGAAACATGGTGACTTTGTATTCACGCATACAGTGCATAAATTTCTAAGTTCAGGCTACACAAATTAACAAATAGAAACATTTTTGGAAACAACAGGTTTTCCTTTGTGATTTGATCCCCAAGTTAATGGGTTTGCTTTGTGGTTTCTTAGTTATCAATTGGCTAATCAATACATTACTTGCTAACTAGATGATCATGTTATATATCTGTTGTACATGCTTAGAGAGTTTGTGACAAGTTGAAAAGTCATTGATCAGAATCATTTTTCTTTAGAGAAGCCTATGGTTATTCTTATATAAAGTGCAGTATTATGGAAGAAAACTATATTTTAAAGTCAAATAGAATCTGATTCAATTGTAGATTAATGACCCAGAGGGGGTATGTCTTTAGATAACTTCTTTAGTTTCTATGAGTTTATTTTTTCCATCTGTAGCTTGTTGATTATGAGGAAGATTCATAAAGCTATCCATTTTAGGTTAAGTTTGCACAGTGGTATAGAACCTAGTATACATGCAATAACTATTTTTCCCACACCCTAAGAAGTAAGGAATGAGTCAATGACTAAGAGATTTTATTGAGCAGCTATTATTTCCATCTGATTTCTTTGTTCATCTCTTTATTCAATCATCTGATGTAATCAATTGGTTACAGAGTCCAAAGATGAGTAAATGCCAAAAGGAGAACACAGTCCAATGGAAGAATCAGACAATTACAATGTTTTGGGATAAGGTGTGTAATGTGCTAGTAGAGCATGATATGAGACTGCTTAGGTCCCTCAAGAAGCCAAATAACTCAATGGTCAAGGGCCAGTTAAATGTAGTTTTTGGAAAAAGAGGAGAGGAGAGAAGAGAAGTGAGAGAATGGAAGTTTGCGAAAGAAGAGAACCTTGTACCCAGCCAGGACAAGTGGCATGAATGTGTAAGGAGGCCAAAAGAAAGTGTAAATGAGAGAGAATTGAGAAGAAACAAGATGAAAGAGACGGTTTAGAAAAGTTTAATATACATTAAATGTATAATGTATATTATAATGTGAGACTCTTATAACTAATGCTTTCTGGTTTTGGCCCAGAACCCTTATTTTCTTTCAGGAACAATTACCCATTTCTTTAGAAAATATTTTCTCATAGAGTTTCCATATGTGGTCTAAATGAGAGCTGATATTTTCTTAATAATATTACAGTTACTATACTTGTGATTGGTTTAGGTTGCAAGATTGCATGTTTCCTAAATTTGGCAAATTAATACCCTTAAGAAATAGTATAGTGAAGTGGTTAGGAACAAGCAATGTGGTTAGTAATACACGCGCCCAGTTGTCAGAAATGCAAGCAAATTGCTTAACCTTTATGTCTTGATTTCCTTATTGGTCAAATGGGGAAAATAGTATCTATCTTCTAAATTTGCAGGAAAGAGACATTAAATGAATAAACATAGACAAGGACTGACCCTAACAGTGCCTATCACTGCCACCACCATCACTCAACCTCTGGAAGCCTGAGAACCAGACCATCTGTTGTCTCCATTCCTAGTAAAGCCCCCTAGCATTCCCACCAACATAAGCCACTGAAGAATTCTGAAAATGATTCAAGCTGAAGAAATAATACAAAGACTAGATTACTGCATCACCCCAAAGCCAAAGACAAAGCACCCAACTCAACTGACGTTATAAATGCATCTATGTGGGAACACATGGACACATAGAGGGAAACAACAGACACTAGGACATACTGTAGGGTGGAGCATGGAAGGAGGGAGAGGACTAGGAAAACTAGCTAATAGGTACTAGGCTTAATAACTGGGAGATGAAATAATCTGTAAAATAAACCCTTGTGACACAAATTTATCTGTATAAACCTACACATGTATCCCTGAACTGAAATAAAAGTTAAATAAAAATAAATAGATATACTCATAAGAAAAAAGCACATGTCTATAGAAACAAGTCTTTCCCTATGAAAGCTATCCCACAAAATTGGAAGAAGTGACTGTTACACAAGATCACAGATATCAACGTAGGGACACAAGAAACATGAAAAAGCAAGAAAACATGATACTGCCAAAAGAACACAATAATTCTCTAGCAATAGACCTTGGAGAAGACAAAAATCTAAAAAATGCCAGAAAACAAATTCAAAATAGTGATTTTAAGGAAACTCAATGAGATACTAGAGAACATAGATTTACAGTATTTAAAAGTTCAGAAAAATAAATCATAATTTGAATGAAAAAATTAAGAAAGAGATAGATACTATAAAAAAAGAACAAAGGAGAGATCTTACAACTGAAGAATTCAATAAAAGAAATACACCATATACTTGTGATCATTAATATTAGGTGTCAACTTGATTGGATTGGAAGATGCCTAAGTAGCTGGTAAATTGGTTCTGCGTGTGTCTGTGAGGGTATTGCCAGAGGGACTGACACTTGAGTCAGTGAATTGGGAGAAAAAGACCCGCCCTGAATGTGGGTGGGCACCATCCAATTGGCTGCCAGCATGGCCAGAAGAAAGCAGGAAGAAGGTGGGATAAGCTGGCTTGCTGAGTCTTTTGGCTTTCGTCTTTCTCCCATGCTGGATGCTTCCTTCCATTCATCCTGTCCACTCTTCCTACATCAGACTCCAGGTTCTTTGGCCTTTGGACTCTTAGACTTAAACTAGTGTTTTGCTGGGAGGCTCTCAGGCCTCCAGCCACAAACCAAAGGCTATACTGTCAGCATCCCTGCCTTTGAGGCTTTTGGACTTGGATTGAGCCACTACTGCCTTCTTTCCTCTTCGGCTTGTAGACAGCTTATTGTGGGACTTTGTCTTCTGATTGTATGAGCCAAATCTCTCTTTTAAACTCCCTTTCATATTATATACATATGTTCTATTAGGTCTGTCCCTCTAGAGAAGCCTGACTAATGCAATGATCATCAAGAACTTCAACAACAGACTACATGAAGCAGAAGAAAGAATTTCTGAACTTCAGACTAGGCCTTTAAAAATAACCCAGTCAGACCAAAAAAAAAAAAAAAAAAAGGGAAACAGTTTGTGATCTATAGGATACCCTTAAGCAAATAATATTTACCTTTTGAGCCTTCCAGAAGAAAAAGAGATGGAAAAGGGTACACAAAACATATTTAATAAAATGATAGCTGAAAACTTCCAAGTCCTGGGAGAGATATAAACATTCTGATACAGGAAGCTAAAAAAGCCTCAAATAGATTCAATCTAAAAAGGTCTCTCTCCAAGGGACAATATAATTAATCTGTCCAAAGTCAAATACAAAAAGAGAATTCTAAAAACAGCAAGAAAAAAGTGTCAAATAACATATAAGGGATTTCCCATCATAATAACAGCAAATTTCTCATCACAAACCTTATAGGCTAGGAGGGACTGGAATAATAGATTTGAAAGGCTAAAAGAAAAAATAAAAAGCTACAATCCATGAATACAGTATTCACAAAGCTATCCTTCGTAAATGAAGGAGGAATAATATTTTTCCAGAGAAGCAAACACTAAGAGGATTCATTACCACTAGATTAGCCCCACAAGAAATGCTTAAGGAAGTCTTATATCTGGAAGCAAGGGATGACATTAACAATCATAAAAACATACAAAAGCATAAAACTCATTGGTAGAGCAGATACACAAGTGAGAATGAAAAAGAAACAAAAGGTTATCTCCATAGGAAAACACCAAACTGCAAAGATAAACAATAAAGAGAAGAAAGGAACAAAGGATATACAAAACAATCAGAGAAAGATTAGCAAAAGAGCAACAGTAATTCTTTACCTATCAATAACAACCTTGAATTTAAATAGTTTAAATTCTCCAATTAAAAGATGTAGGCTGGCTGAATGGATTTTAAAGAAAGAAAACAAGACCTAGCTATATGCTGCCTATAAGAAACTCATGTCACCTGTAAAGATAACATAGACTGAAAATGAATAGATACAAAAAGATATTCCACACAAATGGAAATGAAAAGCATGCAGGAGGAGCTATATAAGACAAAATAAACTTTAAGTGAAAAAATAAAAAAAGAGACCAAAAAGGTCATTATATAATGATAAAGGAATAAATTCAGCAGGGGTATATAACAATTGTAATTATAGATAGGTAGATACATAAGTAGGTAGATGGATAGATAGATAGATTGGTCTAACACTGGAACACCCAGATTTATAAAGCAAATATTAGTAGAACTAAAGTGAAAAAATAGACCCCAATAAAATAACAGTTTGAGGCTTAAGTACCCCACTCACAGCATTAGACAAAACATCTAGAAAGAAAAATCAACAAAGAAACATTGGGCTTAAACTGTACTATAGACAAAATGGACCTAACAGATATCTACAGAATATTTCATCCATAATGCATATACACATTCTGCAAAATACATATTCCTCTCATCAGCACATGGAACATTATCTAGGACAGACTATATGTTAGGCCACAAAACAAGTCTCAACAAATTTAAAAATCTCAAAACCATATCAAGCGTCTTCTCAGACCACAAGAGAATAAAATTAAAAATCAATAACAAGAGGAATTTTGAAACCTGTGCTAATACATAAAAATTAAACAATGTGTTCCAGAATCACCAATGGGTCTATAAATAAATTCAGAAGAAAATTTTAAAAAAAATTCTAGAAACAAATAAAAATGGAAACACAACATACCAAAACTTATGAGATACAGCAAAAGCAGTAATGAAAGTTTTAACAATGAATGCCTATATCCAAAAAGGAGACAGATTTCAAACAAAAAACCTAACATTGTAGCTAAATGAATTAGGAAAGCAGGAACAAGCCAAAATTAAGATAATAGAAGGAAAGAATAATAAAGATCAGAAGAAAACTAAACCAGAAAGAGACAAAATTAGCAATATATAAATATCAACAAAACAAAAAGTTATTTTTTGAAAAGATAAACAAAATCAACAAACCTTTAGCTAGACTATGAAAAAACATAAAGTCCTAAATAAATAAAACAAAAAAGTACACTGATTAGAACTGATAATACAGAAATACAAAGGATCATTAGAGAATATTGTGAATGTTGGTGTATTAATTATACAGCAACAAATTGGAAAACCCAGAAGAAATGGATAAATTCCTGGGCACATATAACCTACCAAGATTGAGCCAGCAAGAAATAGAAAAGCTAAATAGACCAATGATGTATAACAAGATTGAATCAATAATAAAGTCCCCCAACAAAGAAAACCTCAGAATCCGATGGCTGTACTGGTGGATTCTATCAAACTTTTATAGGGGAACTAACACCATTTTTTTTTCTCAAGTGATAATAAAAAATTGAAGGGAAAGAAATTATTTCTTTGAGACCATTCAGTGAACACATTCTGTGAGGCCAGCATTACTCTGAAACCAAAACCAGACAAGGATGCAACAAGAAGTAAAACTACAGGCCAATGTCTCAAATAAGCTTAGATGCAAAAGTCCTTAAAATACCAGCAAAGCAAATATGTTCCACGAGAACATAAAAATATAATGAACCAGGACCAAGTGAGATTTATTCCAGGGATGTAAGAATGGCTCAACATATGCAAGTCAATAAATGCAATATACCACATGAACAGAGTGAAAGACAAATATATATATATATGATCATCTCAATAGACACAGAAAAAGCATTTAGTAAAATTCAACACCCCTTCATGATAAAATCTCTCAACAAATTAATACTAGTAAGAATATATGTAAACAATAAATGCAATATATGACAAATCCACAGCTCACATTATATTGAATGGGGAAAAGCAGAAAGATTTTTCACTAAGATCTAACAAGACAGGAATGTCCATTTCACCGCTTTTATTCCACATAGTACTGGAAGTCCTAGCCAGAGCAAGGAGGGAAGAGAAAGAAACAAAGGGCATCCGAATTGAAAAAAAAAAAAAAGTCAAATTGTTTTTCTTCGTAGATGACTTGATCTTATGAAAATAAAAACCTAAAGACCTCCAAAAAATGTCTTAGAACTGGTAAGCAAATTTAGTCAAGTTGCAGGATATGAAATCAACATACAAAAATCAGTAGCATTTCTGTATGGAAATAATAAACTAGCTGAAAAAGAAATTTTAAATATAAGCCCATTTATGACAGCTACAAAAATATACCTGGGAAAAAATTTAACCAAGGAGATGAAATATCTCTATAATAAAACTACAAAATGCTGGAGAAATAAATTGTAAAGAATACACAAAAAAATAGAAAGCCATCCCATGAATTGGAAGAATTTCTATTGTGAAAGTTGCCATATTACCCAAAGCAATGTACAGATTTATTTCTATCTTTAACAAATTACCATTGCCATTCTTCACAGAAATAGAAAAAAAAAATCTCAAAATGCATACATAACTACAAAAGACCTGAATAGTTAAAGTAATCCAGAGCAGAAAGATAAAAGCTGAAGGCATCATACCATCTGACTTCAAAATATACTACGAAGATATAGTAACCAAAGCAGCATGATATTGGGGTAAAAACAGAAACATAGAGCAATGGAGCAAAACAGAGAACACAGAAATAAATCTGTGTATATATAGTCTACTGATTTTTCATAAACAAGCCAGTAAATATATACTGGGGAAAGGATAACCTCTTCAATGGTCCTGGGATTAGTGGATATCCCTATGCAGAAAAATGAAACTACATCCCTTTTCTTGTCATATACAAAAACCAACTTATGACAAATTAAAGACTTAAATGAAAGACCTAAAACTACAAAACTATTGGAAGAAAAATCCAAAAAATCCTTCAAAACGTTGGTCTAGACAAAGATATTATTGGGTAAGATTTAAAAGCACAGGCAACAGAAATAGAAATAGACAAGTGGAACTATATCAAACTAATATGATTCTGTATAGCAAAAGAAACAATAAATAGAGTGAAGAGACAACCTGTAGAATGGAAGAGAATATCTGAAACTATTCATTCAACAAGGAACTAATATCCACAATATACAATGAACTCAACTCAACAGTAACAAAACAAATAATTCAATTAAAAAAAAGTCTGGGTGCAGTGGCTCATGTCTATAATCCTAGCACTTTGGAATGCCGAGGCGGGTAGATCACTTGAGGTCAGGAATTTGAGACCAGCTTGTCCAGCATGGTGAAACCCTGTCTATACTAAAAATGCAAAAACTAGCCGGGTGTGGTGGCAGGCACTTGTAATCCCAGCTTCTCGGAGGCTGAGACAGGAGAATCCCTTGAACTTGGTGGGTAGAGTTTGCAGTGCGCTGAGATTGCACCACTGCACTCCAGCCTGGGAGACAGAGCAAGACTCCACCTAAAAAAAACAAAATTAAAAAAATGATTTAAATAGACATTTCTTAAAAGATACAAATGTCCAGCAGGCATATGAACAAATACTCATTACGGCTAATCATCAGGAAAACGAAAATCAAAACCACAGTGAGATGTTATCTCACAGCTGAGTGAGGTGGTTCACACCTATAATCCCAGGAATTTGGGAGGCGGAGGCAGGAAGATTGCTTAAGGCCAGGATTTGAGATCAACTTTGACAACATAGTGAGATGCTTATCTCTGCAAAATAAAATATTAAATAATTAGCCAGTTGTAGTGGTGCTCACTTGTAGTCCCAGCTACTCAGGATGCTGGACTGAAAGGATTGCTTGAGCCCAAGATTTTGAAGTTACGGTAAACTATGATCATGCCATTGCACTCCATCTTGGGAGACAGAGCAAGAACTTGTCGCAAAAAAATAAAAATAAAAAGACAGGAGGAAAATTAAAAGATATCTCACCCCAGTTAGAATGGCTACTATCATAAAACAGAAAAGAACAAATTCTGCAGAGGATGCAGAGATAAAAAATTTCATACATTGATACACTGATAGTGGGATTATACATTAGTACAGCATTTATGGAAAACACTTTAAAGCTTTCTCAAAAATTAAAAATAGAACTACCATATAATCCAGCAATCCCACAATCCCACTACTGAGCCTTTATCCAAAGGAAACAAAATAGTATATTCAATAGATGTATGTACCCCCATGTTTACTGCACCATTATTCACAAGAGTAAAGATATGAAATCAACCTAAATGTCCATCAACAGGTGAATGGATAAAGAAATGTTATATGTACACACAGTGAATACTATTCATCCATTTAAAAAACAAAACACTGTTATTCATAGCAACATAGATAAACCTAGAGGACGCTGTGTTAAGTTAAATAAGTCAGGCACAGAAAGATAAACAGCACATGTTTTCACTTATACGTGGGAGCCAAAAATAGTTGAGGTCATAGAAGTATACAGCAAAATTGTGGTCATTAGAGGGGAGGAGAGGGAGACATTGGTTAATGAGCAATTACAGATAGAAGAACTAATTTCTGATGTTCAATAGCACTGTAGCATGGATATCGTTAACAATGATTCATTGTACATTTTAAAAATATTAGAATAGAAGATTTTGAATGTTCCCAATACAAATAAAAGATAAACATTTTAGGTGATGGATATGCTATTTACCCTGATTTGATCATTACACATTGCACACGTGTATCAGAACTTCACTCTGAATCCCATAAATATGTAGAAGTATTATGTGTCAACTAAAAAGAAAAAGAAGAAAATAAGTAAACATCGGTTAAAAAATGTAAAACAGTGCCAAGCACTTACATAATGCTATATAAGTTTGCTATTATTTCCTGGAATGTTTGTTACTGTAAAAAAGGGAAAAGGTAAACAAATCCTTCTCTCTGTTCCTAGAGATACAGTCCAGGTGTTGCTGGAAATCTGGTCTACTTTTCATGAGAAGGAAGCAAGTCTTTACTAAGACAGACCACAGGATGAACAGAGAAAGTATTCGAACTACTTGATAGATAGAAGTAGAGTCGAAAGTTATCTAGCCTCCTTTTCTCACCCCTATGATTCCTGGACCACACTATTTTCCATTATTTGATGTCTAATTATTCAATAATTATTTTTGTTTAGTGAGCTACTCAATAGTCCTTACAATAAATACCCTTAATTTGTTTGACTAAGGGAGATTTATTTGAAGAAATAAAGTGTGATACCCAATGTGGTGCTAATACAGACGGTGTTACACAGATAATGAAGAGGAGATGGAGTTACATCACTGAGCATATGGCGTAATCACAATCATGATTTAGAAAATTTACTCTGGAAGCAGGGAGGCAGAAAGGCAAGACAAAAAGCTACTGCAGGGGTCAGTGAGATGTGGGGCGAGGGTCTGACCTGCAACCATGAGAGGAGGCCAGAAAGGCAGGGACATGTTGTAGGTAGAGCTGATGAAATATGACAAATATTTGGAAGATGTTTGGGAGAATTTAGTAGAAATCCATCATTTATGAATGTTCTAAATCGTGTGAACCCCTTTCCATGTTTTGGTAGGACACTATGTTAATGGAAACTCATGCATATCTGAGCTATGTTCTTGATTTTCAGGTTTTCTTGCAGCGATCAGGGAACTATGAAACACAAAGACCGAGTTCTAATATGTACAAGTTTCAGTTAATATAATGTTATGGAAAGTAAGAACTGCCTGTGTACATGTGCATACTGCATTCCTAAATTTCATGCTACTAGTGTGCAGGTATGAGATGTTGGTTGTTCCAGCTTGATCTTCTCTAGGAGTCTTTGATTTGGAAGTAAGCTTTTTGAAAATATAGATTAAGCATAGGGCATTGATTCTTTTGACACAGTAGCATATATAATATACTGCAGAGGGTCTCTAGAATTAGAGGTAATGCATAACATTGCTCAATTTTCTACTAGAGCAGAGAAATTCTCTATTGGGGGTTTAGCAAAGATAGTACCCTTACAATACCAGATTGTGGGGGGGCATTGTTTCTCAAAGCCCTGGTTTTATATATATATATATATATTCATAAGTCCATCCTAGATATTCTGTGAACTACCAAATATCCCTTAGCAGCATGTATCATAGGTTCAGGGACAGGAAGGAACAGTCTGCCCCAGATTCAGGAAATAAGCAGATACAATATTTAAAGAGAATTTAAAATCAATAATGAAATTAACCAAAAGTTAGCCTGCTTTTTATTATCATCACATGTCATCAATTCCAAACAATCTCAGTGTTAAACTACTCCTCCTCCCTGGAAAAAGTATTCCCTACAGACATCCCCCGACCCTGTTATGTCAGTGTCCCTTAATAAATTCCTTCCATATAAAATTGCTAGAGTACATTCTGCTACCTGTAGCTTAGAACTTTGGCCAATAGAGAGGAAGAGGTGTTAACAAGTCTTAGTTGTCAAGTCTAAGCAGCAGGAAAAGAGATTATGACATTAGCTAGTTGGGTGAAACTGGTTTGGAAGAATGATTATGAGTAGTTTTAGACAATTACGTTTAAGGTAATTGTGACCTATGCAGAGAAATACTCACATGAAAATTAGGAGAAAGAACAATGCTGAACCATTGCTATGAAAATGCAGTAGCAGATTAATCATTTTACCAGTGTTGCAGTTGTAATGCAAATGTGCTTAATATATGCTGGACATTGTACTACTGGTATCTTTATACTTTTACATATTTATATTAAATACATATTTAATCAAATATCAATATTTATTACATGATATAGGCGTATTTTTAATTCTTTTCGTTAATGTTTTCTTGTGTTTCTCACTTTTTCCCTATTTAGGAAAACTGAAGGAATAGAAAGAGATTGAGAATCCTTGCACAAGACTACTTAGCAAGAACAGGCTAATGCCAGATTTTAAGCAAGGTCTGATTGACTCTAAAACCTATGCCTATAGGGAGACAGACTGTAGACAAGATTTCTAAGCAAAGGTTGGGTTTTGAAATAAGGTGGGAAAATGGGAAATATAATAGCAAACTAGGCTGTAAGTATTGACTTAAGAAGATATAGATGAAGAAGGTAAGTTTGGAAGAGTGAAGGTCACCCCTCTTTGAAGTAAGATTCATTCCTTTATTCAACATTTACTGAAAAATATGCCAATCTAGTGCCAGTCCCTGGAGTTGTGGAGGTGACAAACTATAGTTCTGCTCTTAGGAAGACTATGGTCTATGGGTGGACACAGACTCTCAGAGAGAACCCATTACAATGCTTCAGTGAGTGTTAGGAAAGTACAAGTTCCCAAGGGCTACAAGAACCTCAGAGGAGGGCTAGCTCCAGGCTTTCTGCAGGATGTTCTCAAGGAGTCTTAATGGCCAGGAAGAATTAGCCCTCCCAGAAGCTTGAGAAGCACTGATGCTCAAGGATCATGACTAAAGGCATGGAAGGAGGAGGTAGCAGAGAGTGGACAATGGGAACAGAAAGCTACTTGGTGTTCCTGGACCATTAAATGCAAAACCACAGATACCCACGAAAATTAATGCTTGAAACCAAGGAAGCTTTGGTTCTATTTCATACTGGCTATTTTGGAGCTAAGTGATGAGAACACATGGACACAAAGAGGGGAACAACACACACTGGGGCCTATTGGAGGGTGGAGGGTGAGAAGAAGGAGAGGATCAGGAAAAATAACTAATGGATACTAGGCAGCATACCTTGGTGATGAAACAGTCTGTACAACAAACCGCCATGACACAAGTTTACCTATATAACAAACCTGCTCATGTACCCCCGAACTTAAATAAAAGTTAAATAAAAAAAAAAAAGCAAGGAAGGGAAACTACTGTTTATGGAAAACCTATTGTATACCTGCCAGAAACAACTTCCCCGGTCTGGTTTAAGTAATAAGAATAGTTAACACTTTCTGAGCACTTAGTATTTCCAATTTTGTATTGAGACTTTTCCTGTCTCAATTGCATTAGCATTACATCAGTGTATTGTCTTAACCCAGAATATTTCTGAAGTATGATCTGCAGTGGCTGAATTTTATTCCATTGGATGAATGGATGTTTGCTAGTATGACAACTATTTATTAAGTGCTTATCACATGCCAACTACCATTCTAAGTAATTCATGTAAATTTGCTTCCTTAATATTCATAAAAATGCATATGATCTAGGCTTTCTATCATTCTCCTTTTACAGATGAAGAGGCTTTGACACAGAAGTTAAGTCACTTGCCTGTGTCACTTGGCTAAACATTGTCTGAGCCTTCTTTCAGGGCTAGGAATGCGGCTGAGCATCTGATCTCTTTATCTCAGCTCTCAGCCTTAAGTGAGCTCCTTTTACTCCCCTGGAACAAGTGGCCTACACCTACCTGTATCCATAACTTCCATGGTGTCTTAGCCTGATTTAGTGTTGCTAGAAAGATTAGTACTGACTAATTATAAATAAGAGAGGTTTATTTTGCTCACGGTCCTGCAGGTTGTACAAGAAGCATGGCACTGCCATCTGCTTCTGGTGAGGGCCTCAGGTTTCTTTTACTCAATGCCAGAGAGCAAACAGGAGCAGCTGTGTGAAGAGATTATATGGCAAGGGAGAAGAAGTGAGAGAGGAGAAGAAGGAGGTACCTTTTGAACAACCAGTCATTGCAAGAACTAAGAGTGCAAACTCACTCCTGTGAGAATAGCACCAAGCCACTCATGAGGGATCCACTCCCATGATCCAAACATCTCCCACCGGATCCTACCTCCAACACTGGGCGGCAAGGGGCTGATTTCAACATAATCGAATTTGATAGGGCCAAACAAACCATATTCAAACCACAACACACACTGTGAGCTCATGAGTGCAGGGGCTCAGCTGTTTCTATGGAACTCCTGGTACCCAGCTCCAGGCCTAACACAAAGTAAGTATTCAATAGGAGTTTGAATAAAGAGTGCCATGATAAAAAATCACCATACCAAAAATGCACATCTGAAAGTGACTCCACAAGTTGCTGAGCCCCACAATATGATGAAAGAGTCCTTCTTGCACCCCTTGGTAAAGAATGCCTGCACTTTTGTGGCTCAGAGTAATAGAAAGTCCCAGGGAAGCTTTATGAACTTCACTCGTAGAATCATTCTCAATTTGGAAATCACTCCCTTTTTTGCTTCTATATTTAGTCCTCTGCTTTTGGCTGCAGAGACTTGATAAAACTCATTTTCAAGTGACCCTCAAGCACTGGATTGAAAAATACATCAGTTCAGCTTTGTTTTTAGCTCTTTATTTTCCTCTTTAACAATGTAAACATGAATGTTTTCTCTTTTAATACTGACCGCAACCATTTGGGACTATTTTTATACTTGAGGATACTGAAGCACAAAATGTATAATTAATTTGTTCAAAGCCTCACAGCTACTGGTATGTGGCAATGGAAAGTATAGAATTCCACTCAAAAGATCAGCATTTTACCAGGGATAAAACATATATTAATGACCTCAGAACCACCTGGGCATTTGTTGAAATGCACCAGTGGTGAGTCCACTCCAGATGTGCTAACTTTGGGTTTCAGTATCTTTGGCTTTGAGGTCTGGGAATTACATTTTTAGCAAGCTCTTTCAATGGTTCTCATGCGTCCTAAAATTGGTAAGGATTTCTTTGATCAAGTCGCTGAAATGACATCTAGGAACTCTGACTCTCCCTTATTGGCCATAACATGTAATTTTCCTCCTTTTATTCCTTAGATCAAATTATGTGCCTCTCAAATCCTAAAGTGCAAGACAATGTGTCTGGATATCTGTTAAACTACAGATTCTGATGCAGGAGGTCTCCAGTGGGACACGAGCTCCCAGGAAGTGGTTCACTCTGGCAGACCCAGGTGCTGCTCAGATCCCCCTTCAAGAAAAGACTCACTACCCATTGCTGAAGAATGTGGCCACCTGGTAGCCACCAGCACTAGCTTCATCAAAGTCCACCTCAACTCCAAATGAAGTTGTAGCACTCCCATTCAATGAGGGAGCATGGTGTTGGGACAAGGTTCTGGCTATTTCTAATCACAGTAAGATTCCAGGGTGCAGAGTCCTTTTTCCATGGACTCCCATTGGATTGGCAGAGATTTTGCTGTATGTGCTGTGAAGGTCTCGCCGACCTTCTCAGCCCCTCTCTTTTCCTTGCATAGGTGTTACTCTTTTTTCACTCTGAAATTTATGTTTGCACTTGCCTTCTGGAGAACCTAGAAGGCACATCTATCACCCAAACTTTGAGTAACAAGGAGCCTACATCTTGGTTTCCAAACTTTGAAGCAGCCAAAGGCAGTTGTTCCATCCCTAGTGGACTGATCTTATCTCCAAAATCAGGGAACAGACTAAGATGAGCTTAAAACAGAGAAAAGGAGGAGGCCTAATTCATCACTCTTCTTAACTGTCATGGTTTATTTGGACCCAGCGCTGACCTAGGTTTGTTCCCTGATTCCTGAAAGCTAACCTCCTCTTTTCTGCCCTTTGCAGGGGATTCGTATAAGCAATGACAGTTTTTTACAAATAAAATCTCACCACAAAATAAATAATCACAATAGATTTATATAAAGCAGTTTGGGCTAAAGTTGGAGATGGGCACAGAGCCGAGCCTGCTGTCCACCTCCAATCATGAAGTTTGTTCTCAGGGCCTTAGGCTCAGTGTGTACCATTTGAAAAACAATTCTTTTCCCATGCTGGCTCTCAGTATAACAGGCTGGAATAATTTTTTCACAGCTTCCTAATAGATACCTTACTTGAAAATGCTATTTAAGTCAAAACCACCAGTTTCCTCTCAATGAATTAAAAGGTAATGCAGTTTTAATTTTAAGCCCAATTATATCTTTTGAGATGAACGGTACAGGGCTAATCCTTGTTTAGGGCCAAAAGGGAGTGATAAATCATTTACTTACATGATCAGATTGCTTCCATGCTCCTCTGGGCCGCTCAGAAAACAGAAATGAGTCGTTAATACCGGCCTCTTCGGTGAAAAATGAAATGGAAGGGAAAGTCATGGTAGATGTTGCCTGTATCAGTCAGGATATTTAAGTTATACTGTGGTTAAATAAAATGTCAGTGAATTATGCCAGCACCACCGTTATTCTTATTCATGCCTCATGTCAATCCAGCTTATTGAGGGATCCTGCCTCCTGCAGTTATTCAAGTACCCACTGACACAGACTCCAATTTGATACACACTTGGAGGTCATGGCCATGAAGGGAGGCAGATGTGGTGAATATGGTAGAAAGCTTCCATTGATAACTTATAGGCCTCTACCAGTCACATGGATAAGACAAACTTTCAGAGGTAGGGAAGAGCAATCTAATACTGTATTCCTAGAAAGAGAACTGGAAAAATACATCAAATAAAAATCACCAATGTTTCCAATGGCTATTGCACTGTCTTTTAGCCTCCGCACAAGATTTCCAAGTAAGGATGAGGCTGAGAGCAGAAGTAACATGTATTACTAAGCATCAAGTTTGGGTAGGCACTTTGAGATATAAAACCCTCAACAATGTTTTGGGATAGGTAAAATTTCCTATTTTACATTTTCTATGGCCCAGAGAAGTGCAAGGCTTTTCCTAAGATGAAAGAGCCAGTGCATGAAATCAGGATCCTCATCCAGAAATGTCTGACCCGGAAGCCCACATTTGTTTCACTATTCAGTGCTGCATACTGCCTATGGAGATGTTCACCCTACATTGAATAAATCACAGTCCTTGAGGCTGGAGTGCCATGAAATTGAACCTAGAGAGAAAGGGAAAAAGGGAATAATCAGGCAGAATGAATTTAATTTTTTTTTCCAAAGAATAGATTAATCTAAAGTAGCTTAAGTGTGCATATCTGCAATAATAATGAACAATTATTGCCTTTGTACTAAGTGTCTAAGCCAACAAAATGTATTTTGTAGCTACCCCAAGAAATAGTACATGCAAAACACATTTTGTTAGCTTACACACATAGTAATTACCTCTTTGTAACAGAGTTAATTATCTCTGTAACCCCATGAGATAAATTCAAATTTTAGTTCTGCTGCATACTAGTGCTATGATCTGGACATATTTATTAAAGTCTTTGAACTTTAATTCCCCTAGTTATTCAATGGAAATATTCATACTTTCTACATACTTTACTTGGAGAATAAAATGAAAACGAAAATGTAAATGGGATGTTATACCTAAACGACATTAAACACACTAGATGCTAAGTAAAGATAGGCAGGGATCGTGTGAGCAAGTAAACAGCACAGGCTTTGGGGTAAGATACAGCTTAAATTCAAATCTCCGCCCTTTGTATTTGGCTGCTTGGGTAAATGGCTTAACTCCTGTGGCTTTCCTGAGTTAGTGAAGTCTGTTGTAAAATGGGGATAGTAATTTCTGTCTGAAGGGATGTTGTGGGTAATGCATAAGGTGCCATAAGTGAAATTTTGTAGGGAATAATGATACTCAGCAAATGGTGCTGCCTTGTAATTCCCTTGCCAATCACAGACTCATAATGTGAATGTGTCCACCAAAGTTCTTGCATTGGAAACTTAATCCACAATTGAACAGTGTCAGGAGGTGGGGACCCTGATGAAATGTTTAAGTCGTGACAGCGTCACCCTCCTGAATGCATTAACGCTGCTATTAAAAGTGCTTATGGGGGTTGGGTTCTCTCTCTTCTGCCAAGTGGGAACACGGCTTTTTGTCTCTGTCTTGCCCTTCCACCTTCCCTCACACACCTTCTGGTATGTGAGGGCACAGTAAGAAGGCACTTGTCAGAAGATAGCACCTCGATCTTGGACTTCTCATTCTTCAGAACTATAATAAATAAATTTTTCCTTGTAAATTGCCCAGTCTGCAGTGTTCTGTTACAGCAGCACAAGACTAAGACACAATGATTTTGAGAGAATATTCTCCCAAGTCCTCTGGAAGTCTTTTTTTCTTTCTTTTGCTTCCTTCCTTCCTTCCTTCCTTCCTTCCTTCCTTCCTTCCTTCCTTCCTTCTTTCCTTCCTTCCTGTTTCTCTCTCTCTCTCTCTCTTTCTTGAAGGAATTTTGCTCTTGTCGACCAGGCTGGAGTGCAGTGATGCAATCTCCGCTCAATGCAACCTCAGCCTCCTGGGTTCAAGCGATTCTCCTGCCTCAGCCTCCCAAGTAGCTGGAATTGCTGGCGCCCACCACTATGCCACGCTAATTTTTGTATTTTTAGTAGAGACGGGGTTTCACCATGCTGGCCAGGCTGGTCTCAAATGCCTGACCTCAGGTGATCCACCTGCCTCAGCCTCTCAAAGTGCTGGGATTACAGGCGTTAGCCACCACACCCAGCCCTCTGAAAATCTTTATGAGTGTTCTTGCCTTACAATGGAAAATCCCTTTGTGTTCACCCAGTTGCTTATGGCCTGCATGCTCAACTTTTTCTTGCCTGGGTAAAGCCTGATCCTACTTGGCAAAGTGTATTTCCCTAAATTTTGTTTTCTAAGTTCCACAACCACTTATTTGAGAAAATCCATTCCTGAGGTGCTTCAGTATTTTGGCTCATCTCTTTTTTTATTGTGAGACATTACACTAAATCACTTCTGGGTGTCGGGTGAGAGACTCCTAGGAGTTGTTTATCATCTTGTCCTCTTTGTGGGGAGAAACATAAGAGACAGAGTGCACCTCTGCTTCAGGGTCCTTTGAAACTTCAGCTTTCTAAAAAGTGCTTCCCTGATAGGTAGAAAGATGAAGAGGAGCAGGAAAGGCCACAGTCTGGGGCAGTGGAGGAAGGGGAGGAGAGCAGTGGGCAAGTTCTTGGTCAATCCCAGTGCCTGGGATGCGGGCTGATTGCTCCAGAAGAGACAGCACAGGTATAGGTAGGCATCAGGGAACACCACAGTGAAGGGAGAAACCTGCAGAAAGTGGAAGTAGAGCTATGAGGACCAAAGGAGAGACTCATTCTCATGGAAAATAACTTCTAGAGATCAAAGTGATCATGAAGTGTGAGTGACTGTTGTCTTGAAAGAATTTACCAGGGAAAAACACGCTCCTATACTACCCAAGGCAGTGATGCCAATAGAACAGTATTCAGAAAAGAAGGGAGAACATAACTTCCAGGGGCCATTCCAGTTATGGAGGTCAATGCTTACTTGATTTCTATTATGATTTACCTAACCTTACCCACAACAGCAGCTCTTCTTTCTGGTGGATTAATGGTGGTATCCGTGATTTGTGCCAGTTCAGTATTCAGACACTGATAAACATCTGTACCGATACACTGACCTTGTTTTGATGGACACTTTTGGTGGAAATAACAAATGCATATGTCAATATGTGACCTCACTCAGGTTAGATTTCTACTATAACCCCAATATAATAATTTATTGTATTTTTGAACTTAAGACCTTTGAAAGTTTTACCGTATTTGCCTTACCTGTGACTTCCATATAACGTTCACATGCTGAATTTATGTATGTCAATCCTTTTTCCTACATGCATTTTTCACTGAAATATAAATACACAAGGCGTGAACCCTGTGCATTTTATTCACCATCACGTTACAGCACCTACATTCCACTGGCACACGGTTGGTGCTCCATTGTTTTGTTGTGGTTATTAACTGATTAAATAAATGAATGAATATTGAATGAATGAGCAAAGTAACATAAGAAGACGATAGGCCTGGAAGAGATATACACTAGCATTTTTTTTTTTTAATTTGTAAAACTTTGAAGACTAGCAGCCCATTGTGTACCATCAAAGCCCTTCATGATAAAATCTGGTTTAGGGCATGACACTAGGGAGTGATATCCAGGGCTGCCTTCAACTCTCAGCTTCTGAATTCCATAGTGATACCTCCTTTGAGTCACTGTGTTTGACTCCCTCACTCACTATGATAATGCTCCATCACCCCACCTCTGTGATTGCCCGGCTCCTCTTTCCTGAGAGTGTGAAGATCAGCCACACAGAAGGCCAAGGCAGCCTCTGAGTACTGTCAGCAGCAGGATCAAGATGGTGTTTAAGTAGGAGGATGGGTCATTAGCACCAAAGTAATTGAGACTCTGAGGTAATAAAATTGCAAGCGATTTTTTTTCTTTTCCTCTAGATTCTGTTTTTGTTTTTCCCCCATGAAATGAAACAAGACAATTGTCATGCATCCCCAAGTGATTTGAAAGGCCAGGATAGAGGTGCCTTTTCAGCGTGATACATAATTCTATATCAAATTACCAGGAGCTGGAGAGAATTGCAGCTAAGCCAGAATCTAATGGACATGGGGTATGATTTATGTAGAGATGGAGTAATAGACAAGGATTTTAAAATTTGATGGAGAGCTGAGGAAATTCAATAAAAACTGGGTCTACAGAGGCATGTTTTACTGTGTGTGAATGTTTTCATAAACACCTCTGAAGAGATAATACTATACAGGTGAGCTTAATAAAAAAGGACTTTCCTTTTCATTCCTGCCAATCTGGCCCTTTCACAAGCTCCAGTGAGAGAGAAATATGGGCTTGGTGGGACTTTTCTTCCTTAGTTATCTAGTTTCCTTTTTAAACCTTCTAATCTTGCTCCTCGCCTTTCAGCTTTTATTGAATTTTTGCAAGAGGAAAGAATTTTGCTAGAAAGGATTTTACTAGAAAGAGCAAGTTAACCTGAATTGCTGACAAATGCAAGGCACTCAAATGCCTAACGAGTCACCTGCAGCTAAAGGTGCAGCATCCTAATGAACACAGGTATCACTGGGGAGACGAGAAAAAGAGGGAGAGGAAAAAAAATGCATGTATTAGAAAAGGCAATTACCCTGGAAAAAGTTTTACATATGGGTTCTTAGAAAATGTACTGGCACTGGAGCCTAGAGTACCTGGTTTAATATCCTGACTCAGCTTCTTACAATCTCTATTACCTCTAACATATTGCTTAATTCCTATGAATTTTAATTTCTTCCTTTTGAAACAGGAGATGATTTTTCTCCCCAGGATGAATGGAGAAATAAATATGATGTATGCAAACTACTATATCCACAGCCTTGGCACCACAGTTCTTCATAAACTCAAATTCCCATTCTGCCTTCCAGAGCCATAAAGAAAGCAAGGAGAAAGTGGAAGAGGCAGATTCTTTGCTGTTGGACAAGAAGTGAACCATTAATGTGTAAGCGAACTGAACACCTACTGGAATTACACACTCAAACGATTCCCTTTTCATCCATGTGTCTTTTAGTCCAGAAAGCACAACCCAGGAGAAGAGTTCTCATTATCTTCCCTTTGGCATCACCCTGAGGCTATGCTGGGGAATGAGAGGAAGCCCTAGGTCAGGGAGAAGGAAGAGGAAAAGCTCAGGATGACTGGAGGTTCCACTTGAGAAGCTGCACAGATGGTAAGATGCCTTTAAATGACTGCAGACCCAAGGGGAGGAGGAGAGTTTGCTGGAAAGATGATGAGCCTCAGATTAATCTGCTTGAACACCCACACTGCTTAATTTACGTTGTTGGTGCGTCAGCTTTATCTGGTATATTTTCTTCACTGTCAAAGTGAATCCTTACTGCAGCAAAAGAGCAGAGGTACCTTGTTAATAAAAGCAGTTTCTCAGCTGGCATGTGGTTGGCCCATGCTTCAATATCAGTCCGTGTGTCCCTCTATTATTATTATTTTTTTTTTTCTTTGAGACGGAGTCCCCCTCTGTTGGCAGGCTGGAGTGCAGTGCCATGATCTTGGCTCACTGCAAGCTCCGCCTCCTGGGTTTAAGCGATTCTCCTGCCTCAGCCTCCCGAGTACCTGGGACTACAGGCACGCACCACCACGCCCAGCTAATTTTTGCATTTTTAGTAGAGATGGATTTCACCATGTTGGCCAGGATGGTTTCGATCTCCTGACCTCGTGATCCACCTGCCTTGGCCTCCCAAAGTGCTGGGATTACAGGCGTGAACCACCGTGCCCGGCCTGTGTGTCCCTCATTTACATCCCCTTATTTATTCAGTTGATCATCTATTTGTCCTCCAAGTTGGAATGGGAAGATCATCCGTCTCACTTGAGTTTACTTCCTTTATTTCACTCCAGAATTGGTCCATTGCCATTTGGTGTGAACTAGTGGAGCGGTAGCAGAGGAAGTGAGGAAGGAGGCTGGTCTGTGTGATTAGGCTATCTGTGTTTGCTAATTGGCACTCATCAAAGTTAGGCTCCTGCCCTCCTGCAGATACCAGAAGATAGGGTGTGCTCTCTCCTTGCATGATTACATTTCAAAGAGATGACTTCCACTCCTTAAGAAAGATGTTACTGGATAGTACAACTGGAAGTAGGTTGGAAGATTTACATCTCAAAGGGAGCAGATAACAAATTTATAATTGAAAATTTTCTGAACTAAATGCTTTAAGAAAGAGGCGATTAGGAGGCTAGGGCCAGGTAAAAAAAATAAAAGGCTGTCTAAAATATAGTCAAGTTGTGTTGAACTTCAAGTCCATCTTAATTACTCCCTCACCAACTGAGGACTGCACACAGGTTATATGTGGGAGTCCTGCATCTTCCCCTCTCACTGACTCAGAACAGGGGTCTGGAGCACTAATGAATAGAAATGAAAATTCAGGTACACGTGCCAAAACCAATGGCCAAAATTACTCTATTTTTCCCTTAGTGGGATGTTATCACTCCTGAAGACATATAATGTTTTGTCATCTTTTCTATTCACTTAGATATCTCTTAGTTCCTAATCCAGCCTCTCCCTGTTCACTCAATAAAGGCTTCTGATTCCCACTTTCAGGTATAGCCTGGGCTCCACTACTAGAATACAACAAGGAAATATCCTCCGTGTTGTATTCTAGTAGTGGAGCCCAGGCTATACCTGAAAGTGGGAATCAGAAGGATAAATCAGTGAGAATAAAAGGATACACACACACACACACACACACACACACACACACACACACACAGAGAGAGAGAGAGAGAGAGAGATCCTTTTATTTGGGAGATTAATTAGAAGGTGGCATTCTACCATGATTAAGAACGCAGGGAGTAAGTGAAGCAAGTTTTAAGTGGAAAATTTAGAGGGAGGTTGTAATTTTAATAAAATGGATTTGAAGTTTATATGGTAAATTTTTACTTCATCTCTCTGCCCAGATAAATACATTGTTACACTAAAATTCACAACCTAAATATAGGTGATAAAATCTAGGTAAGGTCCTGTTCCCTCCACCGTGCTCTTAACATTATTTCTTCCACATTGCTATTATTAATGACACAATATCACACTTTCTATTCTCTAATTATTACTCCTGGATAAAACCTACTAACCCACCCAGTCTTTTTCTTAAGAAAGAGTCTTCATCTTCCGTGGATGTTCAAACAGTGATCAATAAAGGGAAAGTGTGCTGTGAATGAGGTGGACCCTTGGATTTCTGAAGACATTAATTGTCTTAATAGTATCCAGGTTCCTTGCCAACAAATCAAGAGAGGTTTAATTTGTCTTTATGAAGTTTTCATTTATCATTGTACTATCTATATTTGATGTTTCTAATTATCCAACTGATGTATTATTTAGATCCCTTCTGAGACTAGTCAAATTCACTGGAATTTTCTCTTTATTTTATTACAAATAAGAACATGTATCAGCCAGAAAAAAATTATACTGTTCCATGTTACACAAGAATATTGTTCATTATTTACTTTAAAAGAAAAGCTGCTCAGGGAAAAAGAGAGAAACTCTTTAGCAAATTAGTTTTTAGTTCATTTTCTCAGCAAAAATATATAATAAGTATATTATAAACAATTATACAATATATTGTATATGATAGTTATATAATATACATTATACAATATATTACTTATATATAATATGATGTATTATATAATATATAACTAATATATGTAATAGTCTTGTATAATCATTTATGTTATATAATGTAATATGTAATATATAGTATATATGTAATAATATAGTAAATATAATAAAAAGTATTATATATAAGTTAGATATAATCATTTATCATCTTATATATAATACAATACATTATATATAAAATTAAATATTTCTTATATGTATTTAATTATATATTAATATATTATATATTTTAATCATTATATCACATATACAATTATGTATAATAATAAAAGATGTTTTATGTATTACATATGTATTTATATATGAATATAAAAATATATATTTAAAATATTGGGGCTACAGTAGTAAGGCTCAGTTTTTATCCTCAAAGAAATTATTATTAATAAGTAATGAAAGTCTTACCATGATTTATTAACCTATCCACTTTTCTATCAGTTTAAAAATGACAATGATTTATATGGTGCCTAATATTGGCTATGGGCTAAGGTTTAGGTGCTATTTAATAGACTAATTATTGGCAGCTAGTAATGCCTGATCTCACCTATGATTGGTTGCTTTATTCTCAGTTCTTTATCCCTCCTAGTATCCTGGCTTCTTGCCATGTGACTTTGCAGTTACTCTTACTAAAGTCCATCTCATTTATGCTGTGCTTGCATGAGATTTTGGTCAAATGTCCCAAGACTAGGTCTTAACCCCATTCACAAGGGAGGAGGCCTCATGTCCTAATCATCTCCTGAAGGCCCCGCCTCTTCATAACTTCACATTGGCCACCCTTGAGGAGCTAGAGGGGCTCCTTTTAAACTACAGCACACAAGGTGGTAAAATTATACAGTGATGTGAAATATGCATCCCTTATAACCTCCAAGGTGTTGCCAGAAATCTATCAGAACTGGTCATGGGACAAAACTATGCTGTGATCTACAAGGAGTCTGAAAAATACATAAAGAAATCTTGCCTATCATGCTTTACTTGATTCAAAATAAAAATTCTATTTTTTAAATAAGTGTTCCACAAATGTCCACGCTTCTAACTCTTTAAAGATGATCAATACTAACTGTAAACACCGAGGGAGAATGGTGTTCGTGCTTCATGTGGTGTTATTGAAGATGATTGAGTGGAGGTGGCTTGGACAAAGGAGAGCTTTCTGTTGAGAGTTGGCTTTCTTCTGATGTTTTTGATGTGTTTATTTATCCACATAAATGTCATATATTGTACTTATAAATCTGCAAATCTTGGGATTTTCTGCCTGCAGCGAGATGCACATTATCTTCATGAGCTAAGTATTTCTTAAGTTTCTCATCTGGGTCTAAAAGCAAACAACAGTTAAAAACAATGCAAATGGCTATCAATTGTGACTTTCTGAGTTATTCTCAGACACAGACATGAATGTCCTCTGCCTCTGGTTTCAGGCTGCCGGCTTTTTGAGACAATCCTAAGTAAGGAAAACAGTCTAAGTCAAGTGCAGGCTCTAGTTTAAGTCTAATGGTCTTAGTACTGGCATTCAGTTACCCAGCATGACTCTAGGCCATCTGTGTGTCCACTCACCGGGCCTGCTCCACTCCTGCAAAAGCTTCTACCTGTGTGTCTCAGTTGGCACTTGACAGTGGATACTTAACCACCTTTGAAAGAGGCAAAGCCTGGGGCAGAAAGTGAGGCTGCAAGAAAAGCACCTTGAGAGTTGAAAGAGTTTACGTTCAGGGCTCTGTTTGGAGGGGACAGGTGGAATTCAGGTATCAGCAGGAGAGACGTTCAAGGGAAGACTGTGGAAGGAAAGTGAAGTGAACCTCAGCCAGTAATGAGATAGAGAAATGTGTTCTTGGCTATTCTCTGAACATGGTCTTCTGTCTGCAACTGTATTCTGAGTGAAGCCCCATCCACTACAGTTGTCAGGCAGCATATGCCATAGTATTCAGAAGAGTCTGGAGCTACATGGCCTGAGTTCAAGCCCTCCTTCATGGCCTGCAACTACTTGGTGTTTCCATTTGTCTAAACCTGGAGTTCAGTGGCAGGAAGTCCACCTTCCTGCATAAATAAGGGCATTTTTCATCATCAGATTTACTAGAAATAGAGGTATATTTGAGCCTTCACAATCCTACTTTTTTTTTTTTTTTTTTTGATAATAGGGTCTCATTCTGTCATCAAGGCTGGAGTACAGTGGCACCATCATAGCTCAGCCTTCTGAGTATCTGGGACTACAGGTACATTCCATCATGCCCAGCTAACTTATTTATTTATTTTATAATATTTTTTGTAGAGATAGGGTCTCACTTAGTTGCCCAGGATAGTCTCGAACTCCTGACATCAATAAATGCTCCCACCTTGGCCTCCCAAATCGCTGGGATTACAGGTGTGCCTTTTTTGATATAAGTCTATTGGCCAGTCTATTTTGATTTTATAAAACATAGAGAAGAGTTCTAGTTAGTAATACGCTTGTATCTTTCAAGAAAAAATTGCCTTCCTCATAGTGTTATTATAAATCTTAATTGTATATCTCTTTAATATATCCTGACACATAGAAACAATAAATAAATGGAAGCTGTTTCTCTTGATGTTTTACTATCAGTTTTGATATTTTATCAAATTCTTTCTGTTATTCTCATCTCTATGGATACATCAGGGAAAACAGAAGCATGAGTCCTTCCCATAAACTTAACTCCAGGTAGGCAAGGGATCTACTCAGGAAAGTGTTTTCTTGAATGTAAGACTTGTGAATTCTTAGAAAAGTATTATGAAAAAGACCAGACTTTGGGGTTAGGAAGATTCATATTTGACGTCAGTTCTGACATTTTTCAGCTCTAAGAGCTTTGCGAAACTATCCAGTAAGAATGGTAGCTGATACTTCCTAAGAAGCTATAATTGCCAAACACTGATCTAACTGGTTTACTTGTATAAGTAATTAACTTTCATAAGGCCCCTTTCAGATTAATGCTATTTTTGTTTCCATTTCTTAGACAATGAAAACAATCCAGAAAAAAATGATGCTAACTCACTGTGCCCTGAAGTAGCTCAGCTCCAAGGACTGTGACTTTAACTTCTAAGTAACACCCCCTCTCCACTTCAGTTTTCTTCCTGTGCAGTGGGAGTAATTCCCGCTATTCAAGCTTCATTTGTGAGGATTAAATGCACAAACTTTTGTAAAAGCCCTAGCACACTGATTGCCACACTCTAATTCCATTTAAATAATAACTTTTATCATTAGGTTTCTTGGTTGCAAGCAATACAAAGCAACTCTTGCTAACTAAAGTTAAAAAAAAGGAATTTACTAAAAGGATTTTTGGTAGCTGAAATAATTATAAGAAGGCTGAAAACCAGGCTACTCAAAAAAGCAAGACCTAGAAGAAATTTTTTGTTATACGTAACAGCCAGAGAATACATGCCCCCACACCTGTTTATTTAGGAAGCTCACATATATACCATCATTACCTTTTCTCCGACATATAGCCACTGTTAGACAGTGTTTCTTCAAAGTGTAAGTAACAAGACTGAATCAGTAATACAGTCTCCCAAAAAAGAGAAGCCTAGAACTGCATAACTTCACTACTGATTTCAACTCAAGTTTTAAATAAGAAATAATACCAATTCATTTCAAACCATACCAAAAAATTAACATGGAAGGAATACTTTCTAACTCATTTTACAAGGCCAACATAACCCTGATAATACCAAAACCAGGGAAGGAAAAAAGAGAAAAGGAAACTACAGGCCAATATCCTTGATGAAAATGGATGCAAAATTCCTCAATAAAATATTAGTGAACTGTCTAACAACACATCAAAAAATAAAGAACACCACCATGGTCAAGTGGAATTGATTCCAGGAACACAAGAATAGTTCAACATACACCAATAAACGTGATATATCACCTCAACAGAATAAAGGACAAAAATCATGTGACTATTTCAGTAGATACAGAAAAAGCGTTTGAGAAAATACTCTTAAAAACTCTCAATATCATGAAGGGATGTTGAATTTTGTCAAATGCTTTTCTGTATCTATGGAAATGATCATATGATTTTTGGAAAGTACCACAATATTTACAAGCTATATATAATTTTGGAAAGTACCACAATATTTGCAAACTATACATAATTTTGGAAAGTACTACAATATTTGCAAGCTATACATAATTTTGCAAGGAAAGTACCACGACACAATAAAGGCCATATATGACAAACCCAAAACTAAAATCATACTGCATGGGGAAAAACTGAAAGCTCTTTATCTAAAAACTGAAACAAAACAAATATGCTCACTTTCACTACTTCTGTTCAGCATAGCTCTGGAAGTTCTAGCCAGAGCAATTAGTCTAAATAAAGGGCATACAAATTGAATAGAAGGAAGTAAAATTGTACTTGTTTGAAAACAGTATGATCTTATATATGGAAAAACCTAAAGACTCTATCAAAAACCTCTTAGAACTGAAAAACTAATTCAGGAAAGTTGCAGGATACAAAATCAGCATACAGTATCTTATTTTTGTAGCTGTTAAAATTATTTTTATAATTTTATTTCAGATAGTTCACCATTAACATGTAGAAACAATAATGCTTTCTGTATAATAATTTTTTGTACTGTAACTTTACTAAGTTAGTTTATTAGTTCTGAGAGATTTTGGTATTTAGGTTTTTCTAAATATAAGATCCTGTTGTCTGCAAACAGGGACAATTTTACTTCCTCCTTTCCAATTTGTATTCTCTTTATTTTTGTCTCTCTTGTCTAATTGATCTGGCTAGGACTTCCAGTACAATGTTGAGTAGAAATAGTGAAAGTGGACTTCCTTGTCTTGTTATGGATCTAAGAGGAAAAGCTTTCAGCGTACCCTCATTCAGTGTATTAGCTGTGGGTTTGTCATATATGGACTTTATTGTTGAGGTACTTTTCTTTTACACCTAATTTGTTAAGAGGTTTTTTATGAAAGAATGTTTAATTTAATTTTGTCATATGCTTTTTATGCACTTACTGAAATGATCATTTAATATTTGCAATTTATTCAACTGAGGTGATGAATCACATTTATTGGTTTGCTTATGTTGAACCATCTTTGCATCCCTAAGATGAATCCCACTTGATCACAATGAATAATTTTTTAAATGTGCTGCTGAATTTGGTTTCTTTGTATTTTGTTAAGAATTTTTGCATCTATACTCATCAAGTTTATTTGTCCTTTCTTTTTCTTTTTTGTTTTATCCTTGCCTGGTTTTTATATAATGGTAATGGTGGCCTCAGAAAATGAATTTTGAACTATTGCCTTTTTAAAAATTTTCTGGTATAATTTGAGAAAAATTGGTATTAGTCCTTCCTTAAATATTTCATCAAATTCCTCAGTAAAGACATCAGGCACTGGACTTTTTTTTTGATAGAAAACTTTATTATCAGTTCAATTTTCTCACTGTTAATGGTCTGCTCAAATTTTCTATTTCTTCATCATTTAATTTTGGAAGGTTGTATGTATTCAACAATGTAGACATTTCTTCTAGATTAGAAAATTTGTTGATGTACAATTGTTCACAATTATCTCTTCTAAATCTGTGTATTTTTGTGGTATCAGCTGTAATGTCTCTTTTTTCACCTCTGATTTTATTTATTTGTGTCTTCCCTCTTTTTTTCTAAATAAATCTGGATATGATTTATCTTATCTTTTCAAAACAACAATTCTTCATTTTGTTGATGTTTTAAATTGATGTTCTAGTTTCTATATTATTTATTTCTGCTCTGAGCTTTAATATTTTCTTCATCGTACAAAGTTTGGGCTTTTTTTTTCTTATGTTTGTAGATTTTGTGTGGTGCATCATTAGGTTGTTTATTAGAAAATTTTCTTTTTTAAAATGTATTTGTTTCTCCAGCTCTTCTCCCTGCACACTCCTGTAATGTAAATACTTGTTTGTTTAATTAATAGTGTTCCATAAGTCCCACAGGCTTTTAAAATTCTTTTTAAATTTAATTTGGTTCTCTGACTAGATTATTTTTAAAGACCTGTCTTCAACTTCAGAATTTTTTTTCTTCTGCTTGATCTAGTCTGCTGCGAAAGTTCTCTGTTGTATTTTGTATTTTATTCATTGAACTCTTCATCTCCAAGGTTTGTTTGGTTCTTTTATATGACATCTATCTTTCTTGAATTTCTTATTCAGATTATGAATTGTTTTCCTGGTTTCATTAAATTGCCTGTGTTGTCTTATATCTCACTGAGGTTCCTTGAGATCACCATTTTTAATTCCTTTTCAGATGTTTTAGAAATTTCCTTTTACTTGGGGTCTGTTACTGGAGAATTATTATGTTTCTTTGAGAGTGTCATGATTCCTTGTTTTTTCATGTTTCTTGTGTCCCTACATTGACATCTGCACATATATTGGAACAGCCACCTTTTTTGATTTTATGAAGATATTTTTGATGTAGATGGGTCCTATGGTGTTGGACGGGTGTAGTGCATTGGTTTGATTCTGGCTAGACTCAGTAGTGTGGTCTCTGTGATGTTTCCTCAGCTATAATCCACATCAGTGACGTTTGTGATGGTGTCAGTGGCTTAGATGACAGGAGTGAGAGCAGTAGTTAGTTTTTCCTGATGGAAGGGGTGCCAGGCTGGCTGTCAGGCCAAAAATGTGCATGCTTCATGGAAGAGCTGGGTATGCCATGGGCTGTCCAGGGGATGAGGTCACCTTTGCTCTGGCTGTTAAGCATGGTGAGCCGTGGACTGGCCTACTGTGTAGTTAACTCTCCAGGGACCTGAGCTACCACTGTACTGGTGGTCAGGCGAGACAAATTGTACGTGGATGTACACAGGTTTGTATAGGCATGGTGAGCCAGCCAGCTGTGTGTCAGCTTTCTCACTCTACAGTGTCTCTTTTCCTTGGGGTTTGGGGTTCTATGTAGGTTCACATACTGGGGTCTAAGCCATGT
Organism: Homo sapiens; assembly: GCF_000001405.40. Lineage (NCBI taxonomy): Eukaryota > Metazoa > Chordata > Mammalia > Primates > Hominidae > Homo > Homo sapiens. The sequence goes on from NC_000008.11 coordinate 136,426,636, forward strand.
CACTAAGCCTAGTTTTCATGCCACCGTGGCTAGTTGCTGCAGTGTCCTGTCTGAGCATGGTAAAATGATGATGGAGACTCAGGGACACAGAGAAGCAGTGGCCATTGGCCCCAAGGGCAGGGACACACTCTAGCTGTGGGTTCAGTTTCGAGATGAGGCCATCTTGGGTTGCAAGGGTGGGGTGTCCTCAACCTAAGCTCCTATTCTGGGGAAATGCAGTTGAATTACCTCCAGGTAACTCTCCAAACTGGATTTGGAGTCTGTGAGGACTGTGGGACTCTTCTGTAGCAAGGACTACAGGCAACTGCAGTTGCAATGGGGACTTCTGGAAGGCTCCAGCCTAACAACAATCCCAGCTTGGGAGATGCTATGTTACAGGTAGAGTGCTTCACTCACCACTCTATGTTGCTATCCTAGGTGTGTGTCTTCTACAGGAATTTAGCCACTCCTCTGGTTCTCTCTAGCATATTTCCTTAACCATTCCAACAGAAATATAGTTGTTTGTTCATTGTCTTGGTTTATTTCTGTTGACTGACTAGTACCAGGAAACTTTAGTAGCACATCTTGCTAATGTCACTTATAACTCATAGTTTCTGCCATTGAACTGTAAAATTCCTTGGAAATAAAAATCACGTCTATTTTTTGTTCAGTTTGTAGTAAATACTCAGTGCCCTACATTCTATTTAGCATTGAATTTTTACAAAAATAGGATCATATTAAGAAGCTTGGGTGGCAGAGCAAGATGGCAGAATAGGAGCCTACACCATTTGTTCCTGGTTCCATAGGAACACCAAATTTTAACAACTATTTGCACACAGAAAAGAGAAAAGCACTATCATAAGAACCAAAAATCAAGTAAACAATCACGGTACCTAGTTTTAACTTCACATCACTGAGAGAGGTATTTAAAAGAATAGGAGATACAGTCTTGACTAATCAATGCTACCCCTCCCCAATCCACTGGCAGTGACCGTTCAGCGCAGAGAGTTTATGCACTTGGGGGAGTGAGGGTGAAGTGACTGCTGGACTTTACATTGAATTCAATGCTGCTGGGTCACAGAGAAGAGAAACGCCATGCTGGGCTCAGCCAACATCCACATAAGGAGGAGCATTTGGACTAGCCAGAAGGAATTGCCCATCTCAGCAGTCAGAACTTTGGTTTCTTGGAAAGCCTGGCCACCATGAGCCAAAGTGCTCTGGGGTCCTAGGTAAACTTGAAAGACAGTTTAGACCACAAGGACTGCAATTTCTAGGAAAGTGCTAGTGCTGGGCAGGGCTTAGAGCCGATGGACTAAGGAGGCACATGACCTAGGGAGACACAAGCCATGATAGCTAAAGAAGTACTTGTGTCACTCTTCCCCCAACCCTAGGCAGCACAGCTCACAGCCATGAAAGTGACTCCTTCCTTTTGCCTGAAGAGGGAACAAAGAGTAAAGAGGACTTTGTCTTGTCTCTCAGCCACAGTGATACAGAACACCAGGATGAGTCATAAGGCCCCTGTTTCAGATCCTAGTTCATGGATGGTATTTCTAAACACACCCAGGGCCAAAAGGGAACCTGCTGCCTTGAAGGGAAAAACTAAGTCCTGGTAGGATTCATTATCTGCTGACAAAAGAACCTTTGGGCCTTGAATAACCAGCACTGATACCTAGGTTGTATGCTGTGGGCTTGGGCTCTGAGACATGCTGGCTTCAGGTGTGACCCAACACATTCCCAGCTCTACTGGCTACAGTGGAAAGATTCCTCCTGTTTGGAAAAAAAAAAAAAAACACAGGGAAAAGTTAAGGGGACTTGGTGTTGTACCATATATACCAGCTTAGCCACAGTAGGGTAGAGAAATAAAGAGGCTCTTGGGGTCCTCAAGTCCTAGCCTAGGCTCTAGGACATTATTTCTGGACCTGCCCTGGTGCAGAGGAGAACCCAATGAAGAGTAAGCCCGAGGCTTGGCAACATTCATCACAAGCTGATGAAAGAGCCCATGCACCTTAACAGAACATTGGCAGTGATCTAACAGAATACCCCATTGACTGGTGGTGGTGGTGACCACAAGGAGAGGCTCCTCTGTCTGTGAAAAGGGAAGGGAAGAGTGAGAAAGACTTTGTCTGGTGATTTGAGTGCCACCTTAGCCATGGTAGAATAGAACATCAGGTAAATTTCTATGGTTTTTGATTCCAATCTTTTGCTCCAAGATAGCCTCTTTGGACCTGTCTGGGGCCAGGGGGAGCTTGCTGCCCTGAAGGGAAGGCCATAAACTGAGCTGGCTTTGCTATCTGTTGATTATAGAGCCCTAGAGCCTTGCATAAACACAGGTGGTAGCCAGATAGTGGTTATAGTGGGCCTTGGGCAAGAAGTGCTTTGCTAGCTTCAGGTCTGACCCAGCACAGTCACAGTGATGGTGGACACAGGGGTGCTTGCATCATCAAACTCCCAGTTCCAGGTGGCTCAGCACATAGAGAGAAACTCCATTTGTTTGGGAGAAAGTAAAGGAAAAGAACAAAAGTCTGTGCCTGGTAATCCAGTGAATTCTTCTAGATCTAATTTAAGACCACAAAGGCAGTACTTGTATGAGTCTGAAAAAAAAAATCACAGCATTATTAGGCTTAGGGCCCATGTCCTTTCAAATAGCTAGGAAGCTTTCCCAAGAAGGATGGGAACAAACAAGCCTAGACTATGAAGACAACAATAAATACCTAACTGTTCAATGCCCAGACACCAATGAACATCTACAAGCATCGAGACTATCCTGGAAAACATGACCTCACCAGACAAACTTAGTAAGGCACAACGGGACCAATCCTGGAGAAACAGAGATATGTAACCTTTCAGAAAAACAATTCAAAATAGCTGTTTTGAGAAAACTCAGATAAATTCAAGATAACATAGAGAAGGAATTCAGCATTCTATGAGGTAAATTTAAAGACAGTTCTCAAGAGAAGATATACAAATGGCCCATGAACAAATGAAAAAAAAATGCTCAACATCACTAATTATCAGGGAAATGAAAATTAAAATCAGAATGTAATACTACTTTACTCCTGAAAGAATGACTGTAATTTAAAAATGAAAAAATAATAGATGTTGGTTTGGATGTGGTGGAAAGGGAAAACTTTTACACTCCTGGTGGTAATGTAAACTAGCATAACCACTATGAAAACAGCATTAAGATTCCTTAAAGAACTAAAAGTAGAACTACCATTTGATCCAGCAATCCCCTGACTGGTTAACTACTGAGAAAAAAGAAGTCATTATATGAAAAAAGACACTTGTACGTGCATGTTTATAACAGCAGAATTTGTAATTGCAAAAGTATGGAACCAGCCAGATGCCCGATCAATAAGTGGATTAAAAAAAGTCATATATATATATATATATATATATATATATATATATATATATCATGGAATACTACTCAGCCATAAAAAGGAATGAAATAATGGCATTAGCGGAAACCTGAATGCAGTTGCATATAATTATTCTAAGTGAAGTAACTCAAGAATGGAAAAGTAAATATTGTATGTTCTCACTTATAAGTGGGACCTTATAAGCTTTGAGGACACAAAGGCATAGGAATGGTATAATGGACTTCGGGGACTTGAGGGGAAGCAGGGAGGGGGTGAGAGAGTACACACTGGCTACAGTGTACACTGCTTTGGTGATGGGTGCACCAAAATTTCAGAAATTACTACTAAAGAATTTGTCCACTTAACAAAAAACCACCTGTTCCTCAAAACTATTGAAATAATTTAAAAAGATATTGAAATAATTAAGAAGAATCAAGCAGAAATTCTAGATCTGAAGAATGCAATTGACATATTGAAGAATGTCTCAGAGTCTCTTAATAGAGACTTGATCAAGGAGAAGAAAGAATTACTGAGCTTGAAGACAAGCTATTTAAAAATACACAGTCAGAGGAGACAAAAGAAATAAAGAACAAAAAACAATGAAGCACATCTGCAAAATCTAGAAAATAGCCCCTAGAGGGCAAATCTAAGAGTTGTTGGACTTGAAGAGGAAGTAGATAAAGAGATAGGATTAGCAAGTTTATCCAAAAGGATAATATCAAAGAACTTCCCAAACCTAGAGACAGATATCAACATTCAAGTACAAGAAAGTTATAGAACATCAAGCAGATTTTAACCCAAAGAAGACGACCTCAAGACATTTAATAACCAAATTTCCAAAGGTCAAGGATAAAGAAAGGATCCTAAAAGAAACAAGATAAAAGGAACGAATAACATATAATAGAGCTCAAATATATCTGGTAGTACACTTTTCAGTGGAAACCTCAGGCCAAGAGAGAGTGGGAAGACATATTTAACTGCTGAAGAAAAAAAAGAAAAACAAAAACTTGTACCCTGGAGTAGAATATCCGGTGACAATATCCTTCCAGCATGAAGGAGAAATAAGAACCTTCCCAGGGAAACAAAAGCTGAGGGATTTCATCAACACCAGACCTGTCCTACAAGACAGGAAGTTCTTCAATCTGAAAAGAAAAGGGCATTAATGTGCAATTAGAAATCATCTGAAGGTACAAAACTCACTGGTTATAGCACAGAGAAAAAGCAGTATATTATAATACTGTAATTGTGATGTATAAAGTACTCATATAAGTAGAAATACTAAATGAGAAACCAATAAAAAATAATAACTAGAACAACTTTTCAAGAAATAGTATAACAGGACATAAAGAGAAACAACAAAGAGTTAAAAAGTGTGTGTTGTAGGTGTGAAGTTAGTGTAGCCTTTATTAGTTTTTCTTTTGGTTTGTTTGTTAATTTATGCAATCAGTGTTAAGTTGTCATAAATTTAAAATAATAGGTTGTAACAGTATTTGCAAGCCATATGGTAACGTTGAATCAAAAAACATACAACAGATACACAAACAATAAGAAGCAGCAAATTAAATTATACCACTGAAGAAAAATCATCTTCACTAAAAAGATAACAGGAACAAAGGAAAAAATGAAAAGAATACAATAGAACTACAGGAAAACAAATTTCAAAATGACAGGAGTAATTCCATACTTATTAATAATAACATTGAATGTAAATAGTCTTAACTCTCCAATCAAAGGACATAAGGTGGCTCAATGGGTGAAAATACAAGACCCTATGATTTGTTGCCTAGACTTGTTCAGAGTTACGTAGACTGAAAATCAAGGGATGGAAAAAGATATTCCCTGCCAATGAAAATAAAAAAAAAAAAAAGCAGGAGTAGCTATGCTTATATCAGACAAAATAGATTTATAGATTTCAAGACAAAAATTGTAAGAAGGCACCAAAAGATCATTATATAATAATAAAGGAGTGATTCAGCAAGAGAGTATAGCAATTGTAAATATATATGCACCCAACACTGGAGCATCTAGATATAAAAAGCAAATGTTATTAAAGCTAAAGAGAAAAATAAACCTCAATACAATGAGAGCTGGAGACTTCAACACTCCACTTTCAGCATGAGACAGATTTCCCAGACAGAAAATCAACAAACATAGAACAAATGGACCTCATAGATATTTACAGAATCTTTTATTGAACAGCTATAGAACATACATTCTTCTCCTCTGCACATGGATCATTCTCAAGGATAGACCATATGTTAGGTCACAAAGCAAGTCTTAAAATATTCAAAAAATTGAAATAGTATCGAGCATATTCTCTGACCACAATGGAATAAAATCTGAAATCAATAACAAGAGGAATTTGGAAAACTATACAAATACATGAAAATAAACAATATGTTCCTGAATAACCTGTGGGTGAATGAAGAAATTAAGAAAGTATTTGAAAAATTTATTGCAAAAATGATAATGGAAACAGAGTATACCAAATTCTATGGGATGTGCAAAAGCAGTACTAAGAGGGAAGTTTATAGCTATAAGTGCCTGCATCAAAAAAAGAAGAAAAACTTCAAACAAGTTACCTAACAATTCATCTTAAAGAATTAGCAAAGCAAGAGCAAACTAAACCCCAAATTAGTAATGAAAAAGAAATAATAAAGACTAGAGGAGAAATCAATGAATTTGAAATAAATAAAACAATACAAAAAATCAAAAAGAAAAGTTGGCTTTTTGAAAAGAAGAGATATTGACAAACCTTAGTCAGACTAAAGAATAACAAAAAAGGGAAAAGTCTCAAATAAATGAATCAGAGATTAAAAAGGAGACATTACAACTGATACAGCAGAAATTCAAAGGATCATTAGTGGTTACTAGAAGCAATTATATGGCAATAAATTAGAAAATCTAGAGAACATGGTTAAATTTCTAGACACACACAATCTACCAAGATTGAACTCTGAAGAAATCCAAAACCTGACGAGACCAATAACAAGTAATGATATCAAAGCCATAATAAAAATTATCCCAGCAAAGAAAAGCCTGGCACCTGATGGCTTCACCCCGAATCCTATCAAACTTTTGAAAAAGAACTAATACCAATCATACTCAAACTATTCTGAGAAATAGAGGAAGAGGGAATACTTCCAAACTCATTCTATAAAGTATTACCCTGATACTAAAATCGGGCAAAGACATATCAAAAAAGGAAACTCAGGCCAGTGTCTCTCATAAATATTGATACAACAATCCACAAGAAAATACTAGCAAACTGGTATTCGGCAATACATTTAAAAAGATCAATCATCATGACCAAGTGTCATTTATCCCACGGATGCAAGGTGGTCCAATATATGCAAATCAATTACTGTAATACATCATATCAACAGAATAAAGGACAAAAATCATATGATCATTTTAATTGGTGCTGAAACAGCACTTGATAAAATTTAACATCCATTCATGATAAAAATCCTCAAGACAATGGCTACAGAAGGAATATAGCTCAACATAATAAAAGCCATAGATGATAGGACCACAGCTAATATACTGAGAAATGCAAATCAAAACTACAATGAGATATCATCTCACCCCAGTTAAAATGGCTTATATCCATAAGACAGGCATAAGACAAATGCTGGCGAGGATATGGAGAAAAGGGAACCCTTTTACACTGTCGGTGGGAATGTAAATTAGTACAAACACTATGGAGAAGAGTTTGGAGGTTCCTCAAAAAACTAAAATAGAGCTACCACATGATCCAGCAATCCCACTTCTGGGTATATACCCAAAAGAAAGAAAATTAGTATATGGGAGAGATGTCTGCACTCCTATGTTTGTTTCAGCGCTGTTCACAATAGCCAAGATTTGGAAGCAACTTAAGTGTCTGTCAACAGATAAATGGATAAAGAAAATGTGGGACATATACACAACGGTGTACTGTTCAGTCATAAAAAGAATGAGACTGGAGATCATTATGCTAAGTGAAATAAGCCAGACAGAGAAAGACAAGCATCATCTTTTTTCATTCATATTGGGATCTAAAAACCAAAATGATTGAACTCATGAACATAGAGAGTAGAAGGATGGTTACTAGAGGCTGGGAAGGGTATTTAGGTGGGGGTGGCGGGGGAATTTTGGGATGGTTAATGGATACAAAAAAATTGGCAGAAAAAATGAATAAGTCCTAGTGTTTGATAGCACAACAGGGTGATTATAGTCACTAATAATTTAATTGTACATTTTAAAATAACTAAAAGAGTATAATGGGATTGTTTGAACACAAAGGGTAAATGCTTGAGGGGATGGATACTCCATTTTCTATGATGTGATTATTACACATTGCATGCCTGTATCAAAATATTTCATGGACCTCATAAATATATACACCTACTATGTACCCATAAAAATTAAAAAATAAAAAAAGAAACTGTATGTAGGTGAGAGAAGGTCATTATTTTTTTTTGAGTTTTGACATAATTGTCAGACTCCACCTCAGAGATGGTAGTAAGTTAAGCCACACGATATTGCCAATATTTGCTTGTTTTAATCAAGGCAAAGAGCAATTTTATATGGTTAATCTATGTTTTTAATATTCACAGCATAGATCTCCCTGAGAATCTGTCCTTAAAGCTTTGTTGCAATTACAAGGATGCCTATAAAAAGGTAATTGTTTAGTTTGACTTATTGGGTTGTGACAATGGAGTTCAGGTTAAGTCTATGGCTAGGTTTGCATAAATGGGCACACTGTTGTTTAACTGAGATGGAGATTTTCAATCTTACTGACTCTCTAAAAAATGTTCTGTTCTGTGTGTGGCCTGTGCAACGCTCTGATATTTTTGTTCTCTGATCACATAGAGTGAGATTATTGATATATCAGTAAAATTTAAAGAGGGGAGTGCAAATGGAGCATGGTGTAGGAAGCACATCCTTTGTGTCAGATGTTGTGATAGCTATGACATACATCAGTCCGTTTAATTCTTATTGCACTGCATAGGGAATGTCAGAGGATAAAAAATAGGATCAGAAAAGTGAAGAAAATTCACTCAACATCATAATGCTAATAAATGCCAGAGCAAGAGATGGGACTGTTCCATTAGAGTCTAGAGTCCAATGTTATACTAGGTGCTATGTGCTACTCCAGGTGGATAAGTCATGGCAGAAGCCACCAACACCTTCTTTAGCATGCACCTGCCATCTTTTGAAGGTTATGGTTCTTGTGTGCCAGAGACAAGGGACTCTTCTGAAAAAGTTTCCAAGTACCCAGAGACTTTGGAAATTGCACTGTGCCACCATCTGCATAATATATAAGTAGAAGGTCTGTTACCATCTTAGTTAAAGCAGCTGCAAAGTTTATGAAACAACAGGTAACAACCAGTCACAATATGCTTCCTCATTACATAAGATTTCCAGTGGCCCATTGATCTCTCTGACTCAGGCTTGCCCCAGATTCCAACTCCTCTTTTACCTGGCTCATGGTAATAGCCTGATAAATATTCTCTAGCCACAAGATGCATTTTGTGGCAAGTATGACCTCAGAAAATACAAAAAGAGTCTAACCTGGAACCCCTACCCACCCCTCACACACATTCAAAATTAAAATTCCTAACCTGGAGTCCAAATATCTTTATGATCTGGCCTCTTTCTCTCTCCACGGGCTTCTCCATAACCACTCTATCTTCTTGCCTGCACAGCAATATTCTTCCAACCCTTCAGTTTCTGCAGGCCCCTTGTGGCACAGCACCACAAGTCAAGGCTCTCTAAATTGTGCAGGGAGCAAATAAGAAGGCTTTGATTTATATTGTAAATCTAAAATTAAGAAAAGAATATATTAAGAATTCTACAAGAATTGACAAGGAGCAATAAACCCTACTGAAAGAAGGATGGAAATTCCACAATCTTGTCTAACTACTGGGGGCCGCTCATGTATCCATTTTTGAGCTATTATGACATACAGTCATATAAGCATCACAGTATGTCATCGATATGGTGACATTAATTAAACAAAGACAATAAACAGTAGACCCTTTATAGGACTTTTAATGAGATGGTAGGCAATGATGTCAAACTTTAAACTGTGTGACATTTGTTTGGTTATCTCATGACAGATTATTTGGAAGTCTTTGGAGTGTCCATGACCACAAAGCTGAGGCCCAGGCTCAGAAGTAGCAGCTGTGCAAACTGTGATGTCTAGTACATACAAGAGGCAGCAGTGGGACCATCATCAGATGAACTCTGTGTTTACTGGACATCATTCACAGAAGCCGAGGTACAAACTCAAACCCTCCCCAAAATACTGCAATCCAGTCAAGGCTGTGTTGATAAATTATATGTATTTGACATACCAGAGCAGCTTTGATCGTCAACTGGAAGCCCTGGTTCTATACAAATGTCCCACACTGGCTGGCATTTTCTGTGTTGAGACGTAGTTATTACTAGTATGCTACTTAAGATTAGATTATCTGGCTGAGAGCAGTGGTTCACCCCTGTAATCCCAGCACCTTGGGAGGCCGAGGCAAGATCACCTGTGGTCAGGAGTTTGAGACCAGCCTGACCAGCATGGTGAAACCTTGTCTCTGCTAACAGTACAAAAATTATCTGGGCATGGTGGCGCATGCCTGTAATCCCAGCTACTTGAGAGGCTGAGGCAGGAGGATCGCTTGAACCCAGGAGGTGGAGGTTGCAGTAGCTGAGATTGCACCACTGCACACCAGCCGGGGCGGACGTCATCTCAAAAAAAAATCAGATTATCTATCTTTGTATCTCTGTATCCATCTATTTCTATACTGATATGAACAGATAGTTAGATAGATGTAGATATGTATATCTTGATAGATAAAGATATCTATGCATGCCTGCAGTCTATGTCTCTAAATACAGATAAAGATGGATAGATCTAAGTATCCATCTCAGAGGTGTATAGAGAAATATAAATATATAGATATTTACATTACTCTAAAAATTGATATAAACAGGTAAATATTTGTCTATCTCTATCTCTGTCTTATATTTAGCAATATATGTGAGATGGTCAAAGTTGTGTCATCTTGGTTAGGTTATGGTGCACAGTTTGATCAAACACAAGTCCAGATATTGCTGTAAAGGTATATTGTAGATGTGATTTACATTTATTTATTTATTTTTTTTTTAACTTAAATATGTACAATTTTTATTTATCAATCATACTTCAATGAAGCTAGAAAGAAAAATAAGAAAAAAACATTTGTACAGCATAATTAATTATGAAACGGATACATTTTCTAACAATTATGATATATTTTTCTATGCTTATTTTAGAATATTGTATTGTCATTGGGATTATTGCCACCATTTTCTTCTCTGTACCTGTGTTCCTATCTTTATCGCAGTGACCAAATCTCCTCTGATAACACTTAATTTTTGCCCATCTGAAATTATATCTTAAATTCCAAAAAGTAAATATTTTCTGATTTTTAGGGAAAAATAAGAATTTTTTAGATTTCCTAGGTGACCTCTAGAAAAACTGTGACAATTTTTGCCTTATAAAATGGATGAGGCTAAAATAAATTGGGCTTCTTTGGTATGCCCCATATTTCTTCATTAGTTCCACACATCTGTGTGAGTTGCATGAGGTCAATTCTAAAAGACTCAGCCTTCTCAGTTCATTTTACATAATCTTACATATTAAGATGAATGGTGGTGGGGTGCGGTGGCCCACGCCTGTAATCCCAGCACTTTGGGAGGCTGAGGTGGGCACATCAGGAGGTCAAGAGATTGAGACCATCATGGCCACCATGGTGAAACCCCATCTCTACTAAAAATACAAAAACTAGCTGGGCGTCGTGGTGCATGCCTGTAGTCTCATCTATTCAGGAGGCTGAGGCAGGAGAATCACTTGAACCCAGGAGGCAGAGGTTGCAGTGAGCCAAGATCGCACCACTGCACTCCAGCCTGGTGACACAGGGATACTCTGTCCAAAAAAAAAAAAAACAGGTGAATTGTTTAGGAACTGTAGACATTTAACTCACAGATTAGAGACTGTAATAGGAAATTGGAGAGGTATATGCCCCCAGGTGAAACACTGGTCAAGTCTTTATGAGATAGTATTGAACCTAATGCAGAATTTTTTTTTTTTTTTATACTCTAAGTTTTAGGGTACATGTGCACATTGTGCAGGTTAGTTACATATGTATACATGTGCCATGCTGGTGCACTGCACCCACTAATGTGTCATCTAGCATTAGGTATATCTCCCAATGCTATCCCTCCCCCCTCCCCCGACCCCACCACAGTCCCCAGAGTGTGATATTCCCCTTCCTGTGTCCATGTGATCTCATTGTTCAATTCCCACCTATGAGTGAGAATATGCGGTGTTTGGTTTTTTGTTCTTGCGATAGTTTACTGAGAAAGATGGTTTCCAATTTCATCCATGTCCCTACAAAGGATATGAACTCATCATTTTTTATGGCTGCATAGTATTCCATGGTGTATATGTGCCACATTTTCTTAATCCAGTCTATCATTGTTGGACATTTGGGTTGGTTCCAAGTCTTTGCTATTGTGAATAGTGCCGCAATAAACATACGTGTGCATGTGTCTTTATAGCAGCATGATTTATACTCATTTGGGTATATACCCAGTAATGGGATGGCTGGGTCAAATGGTATTTCTAGTTCTAGATCCCTGAGGAATCGCCACACTGACTTCCACAATGGTTGAACTAGTTTACAGTCCCACCAACAGTGTAAAAGTGTTCCTATTTCTCCGCATCCTCTCCAGCACCTGTTGTTTCCTGACTTTTTAATGATTGCCATTCTAACTGGTGTGAGATGATATCTCATAGTGGCTTTGATTTGCATTTCTCTGATGGCCAGTGATGATGAGCATTTCTTCATGTGTTTTTTGGCTGCATAAATGTCTTCTTTTGAGAAGTGTCTGTTCATGTCCTTTGCCCACTTTTTGATGGGGTTGTTTGTTTTTTTCTTGTAAATTTGTTTGAGTTCATTGTAGATTCTGGATATTAGCCCTTTGTCAGATGAGTAGGTTGCGAAAATTTTCTCCCATGTTGTAGGTTGCCTGTTCACTCTGATGGTAGTTTCTTTTGCTGTGCAGAAGCTCTTTAGTTAAATTAGATCCCATTTGTCAATTTTGTCTTTTGTTGCCATTGCTTTTGGTGTTTTGGACATGAAGTCCTTGCCCACGCCTATGTCCTGAATGGTAATGCCTAGGTTTTCTTCTAGGGTTTTTATGGTTTTAGGTTTAACATTTAAATCTTTAATCCATCTTGAATTGATTTTTGTATAAGGTGTAAGAAAGGGATCCAGTTTCAGCTTTCTACATATGGCTAGCCAGTTTTCCCAGCACCATTTATTAAATAGGGAATCCTTTCCCCATTCCTTGTTTTTCTCAGGTTTGTCAAAGATCAGATAGTTGTAGATATGCGGCATTATTTCTGAGGGCTCTGTTCTGTTCCATTGATCTATATCTCTGTTTTGGTACCAGTACCATGCTGTTTTGGTTACTGTAGCCTTGTAGTATAGTTTGAAGTCAGGTAGTGTGATGCCTCCAGCTTTGTTCTTTTGGCTTACGATTGACTTGGCAATGCAGGCTCTTTTTTGGTTCCATATGAACTTTAAAGTAGTTTTTTCCAATTCTGTGAAGAAAGTCATTGGTAGCTTGATGGGGATGGCATTGAATCTGTAAATTACCTTGGGCAGTATGGCCATTTTCACGATATTGATTCTTCCTACCCATGAGCATGGAATGTTCTTCCATTTGTTTGTGTCCTCTTTGATTTCCTTGAGCAGTGGTTTGTAGTTCTCCTTGAAGAGGTCCTTCACATCCCTTGTAAGTTGGATTCCTAGGTATTTTATTCTCTTTGAAGCGATTGTGAATGGGAGTTCATTCATGATTTGGCTCTCTGTTTTTCCATTATTGGTGTATAAGAATGCTTGTGATTTTTGTACATTGATTTTCTATCCTGAGACTTTGCTGAAGTTGCTTATCAGCTTAAGGAGATTTTGGGCTGAGACGATGGGGTTTTCTAGATAAACAATCATGTCGTCTGCAAACAGGGACAATTTGACTTCCTCTTTTCCTAATTGAATACCCTTTATTTCCTTCTCCTGCCTGATTGCCCTGGCCAGAACTTCCAACACTATGTTGAATAGGAGCGGTGAGAGAGGGCATCCCTGTCTTGTGCCAGTTTTCAAAGGGAATGCTTCCAGTTTTTGCCCATTCAGTATGATATTGGCTGTGGGTTTGTCATAGATAGCTCTTATTATTTTGAAATACGTCCCATCAATACCTAATTTATTGAGAGTTTTTAGCATGAAGGGTTGTTGAATTTTGTCAAAGGCTTTTTCTGTATCTATTGAGATAATCATGTGGTTTTTGTCTTTGGCTCTGTTTATATGCTGGATTACATTTATTGATTTGCGTATATTGAACCAGCCTTGCATCCCAGGGATGAAGCCCACTTGATCATGGTGGATAAGCTTTTTGATGTGCTGCTGGATTCGGTTTGCCAGTATTTTATTGAGGATTTTTGCATCAATGTTCATCAAGGATATTGGTCTAAAATTCTCTTTTTTGGTTGTGTCTCTGCCCAGCTTTGGTATCAGAATGATGCTGGCCTCATAAAATGAGTTAGGGAGGATTCCCTCTTTTTCTATTGATTGGAATAGTTTCAGAAGGAATGGTACCAGTTCCTCCTTGTACCTCTGGTAGAATTCGGCTGTGAATCCATCTGGTCCTGGACTCTTTTTGGTTGGTAAACTATTGATTATTGCCACAATTTCAGAGCCTGTTATTGGTCTATTCAGAGATTCAACTTCTTCCTGGTTTAGTCTTGGGAGAGTGTATGTGTCGAGGAATGTATCCATTTCTTCTAGATTTTCTAGTTTATTTGCGTAGAGGTGTTTGTGGTATTCTCTGATGGTAGTTTGTATTTCTGTGGGATCGGTGGTGATATCCCCTTTATCATTTTTTATTGTGTCTATTTGATTCTTCTCTCTTTTTTTCTTTATTAGTCTTGCTAGTGGTCTATCAATTTTGTTGATCCTTTCAAAAAACCAGCTCCTGGATTCATTGATTTTTTGAAGGGTTTTTTGTGTCTCTATTTCCTTCAGTTCTGCTCTGATTTTAGTTATTTCTTGCCTTCTGCTAGCTTTTGAATGTGTTTGCTCTTGCTTTTCTAGTTCTTTTAATTGTGATGTTAGGGTGTCAATTTTGGATCTTTCCTGCTTTCTCTTGTAGGCATTTAGTGCTATAAATTTCCCTCTACACACTGCTTTGAATGCGTCCCAGAGATTCTGGTATGTGGTGTCTTTGTTCTCGTTGGTTTCAAAGAACATCTTTATTTCTGCCTTCATTTCGTTAGGTACCCAGTAGTCATTCAGGAGCAGGTTGTTCAGTTTCCATGTAGTTGAGCGGCTTTGAGTGAGATTCTTAATCCTGAGTTCTAGTTTGATTGCACTGTGGTCTGAGAGATAGTTTGTTATAATTTCTGTTCTTTTACATTTGCTGAGGAGAGCTTTACTTCCAACTATGTGGTCAATTTTGGAATAGGTGTGGTGTGGTGCTGAAAAAAATGTATATTCTGTTGATTTGGGGTGGAGAGTTCTGTAGATGTCTATTAGGTCTGCTTGGTGCAGAGCTGAGTTCAATTCCTGGGTATCCTTGTTGACTTTCTGTCTCGTTGATCTGTCTAATGTTGACAGTGGGGTGTTAAAGTCTCCCATTATTAATGTGTGGGAGTCTAAGTCTCTTTGTAGGTCACTCAGGACTTGCTTTATGAATCTGGGTGCTCCTGTATTGGGTGCATAAATATTTAGGATAGTTAGCTCCTCTTGTTGAATTGATCCCTTTACCATTATGTAATGGCCTTCTTTGTCTCTTTTGATCTTTGTTGGTTTAAAGTCTGTTTTATCAGAGACTAGGATTGCAACCCCTGCCTTTTTTTGTTTTCCATTTGCTTGGTAGATCTTCCTCCATCCTTTTATTTTGAGCCTATGTGTGTCTCTGCACGTGAGATGGGTTTCCTGAATACAGCACACTGATGGGTCTTGACTCTTTATCCAACTTGCCAGTCTGTGTCTTTTAATTGCAGAATTTAGTCCATTTATATTTAAAGTTAATATTGTTATGTGTGAATTTGATCCTGTCATTATGATGTTAGCTGGTGATTTTGCTCATTAATTGATGCAGTTTCTTCCTAGTCTCGATGGTCTTTACATTTTGGCATGGTTTTGCAGCGGCTGGTACCGGTTGTTCCTTTCCATGTTTAGCGCTTCCTTCAGGAGCTCTTTTAGGGCAGGCCTGGTGGTGACAAAATCTCTCAGCATTTGCTTGTCTATAAAGTATTTCATTTCTCCTTCACTTATGAAGCTTAGTTTGGCTGGATATGAAATTCTGGGTTGAAAATTCTTTTCTTTAAGAATGTTGAATATTGGCCCCCACTCTCTTCTGGCTTGTAGGGTTTCTGCCGAGAGATCCGCTGTTAGTCTGATGGGCTTTCCTTTGAGGGTAACCCGACCTTTCTCTCTGGCTGCCCTTAACATTTTTTCCTTCATTTCAACTTTGGTGAATCTGACAATTATGTGTCTTGGAGTTGCTCTTCTCGAGGAGTATCTTTGTGGCGTTCTCTGTATTTCCTGAATCTGAATGTTGGCCTGCCTTGCTAGATTGGGGAAGTTCTCCTGGATAATATCCTGCAGAGTGTTTTCCAACTTGGTTCCATACTCCACATCACTTTCAGGTACACCAATCAGACGTAGATTTGGTCTTTTCACATAGTCCCATATTTCTTGGAGGCTTTGCTCATTTCTTTTTATTCTTTTTTCTCTAAACTTCCCTTCTCGCTTCATTTCATTCATTTCATCTTCCATTGCTGATACCCTTTCTTCCAGTGGATCGCATCGGCTCCTGAGGCTTCTGCATTCTTCATGTAGTTCTCGAGCCTTGGTTTTCAGCTCCATCAGCTCCTTTAAGCACTTCTCTGTATTGGTTATTCTAGTTATACATTCTTCTAAATTTTTTTCAAAGTTTTCAACTTCTTTGCCTTTGGTTTGAATGTCCTCCCGTAGCTCAGAGTAATTTGATCGTCTGAAGCCTTCTTCTCTCAGCTCGTCAAAATCATTCTCCATCCAGCTTTGTTCTGTTGCTGGTGAGGAACTGCGTTCCTTTGGAGGAGGAGAGGCGCTCTGCGTTTTAGAGTTTCCAGTTTTTCTGTTCTGTTTTTTCCTCATCTTTGTGGTTTTATCTACTTTTGGTCTTTGATGATGGTGATGTACAGATGGGTTTTCGGTGTAGATGTCCTTTCTGGTTGTTAGTTTTCCTTCTAACAGACAGGACCCTCAGCTGCAGGTCTGTTGGAATACCCTGCCGTGTGAGGTGTCAGTGTGCCCCTGCTGGGGGGTGCCTCCCAGTTAGGCTGCTCGGGGGTCAGGGGTCAGGGACCCACTTGAGGAGGCAGTCTACCCGTTCTCAGATCTCCAGCTGCGTGCTGGGAGAACCACTGCTCTCTTCAAAGCTGTCAGACAGGGACACTTAAGTCTGCAGAGGTTACTGCTGTCTTTTTGTTTGTCTGTGCCCTGCCCCCAGAGGTGGAGCCTACAGAGGCAGGCAGGCCTCCTTGAGCTGTGGTGGGCTCCACCCAGTTGGAGCTTCCCGGCTGCTTTGTTTACCTAAGCAAGCCTGGGCAATGGCGGGCGCCCCTCCCCCAGCCTCGTTGCCGCCTTGCAGTTTGATCTCAGACTGCTGTGCTAGCAATCAGCGAGATTCCGTGGGCGTAGGACCCTCTGAGCCAGGTGTGGGATATAGTCTCGTGGTGCGCCGTTTCTTAAGCCGGTCTGAAAAGCGCAATATTCTGGTGGGAGTGACCCGATTTTCCAGGTGCGTCCGTCACCCCTTTCTTTGACTCGGAAAGGGAACTCCCTGACCCCTTGCGCTTCCCAGGTGAGGCAATGCCTCGCCCTGCTTCGGCTCGCGCACGGTGCGCACACACACTGGCCTGCGCCCACTGTCTGGCACTCCCTAGTGAGAAGAACCCAGTACCTCAGATGGAAATGCAGAAATCACCCGTCTTCTGCGTCGCTCACGCTGGGAGCTGTAGACCGGAGCTGTTCCTATTCGGCCATCTTGGCTCCTCCTTCTGATTTACATTTATAATCAATTAGGTTTAAGTAAAGGAGAGTGTTCTCCATCATACAGGTGGGTATCATCCATTCATTTAGAGGTCTTTAGAGCAAAAAAGGTAGTTTTCCTGGAAAAGAAGGAATTCTGCCTCAAGATTTTAATTCTGCCTCAAGAAAAATTGCATGAATTTCTAATGTGCTGGCCCGCTATGTAGATTTTGTACTTGCCAGTCTTAACAATTGCAATAATAAATTCCTTAAGAGAAATCTCATTCTTTTTCTATCTTTTTTTTTCTCTTCTCTCTATATTTATGGAAAGCTTGACTGATACAGTATATACCTATATCTGTATAATGATAAATGTATATCCATTTTTTCTGTTTATATTTATCTGTCTTTACATACATATGTTTATATGAAGTTAAAGATAATTATTTATTTACACATCTATCTAAATCTTTATGTTTTAATCTATATTAGATCCCATATCTATATACATGTGTCTGTCTATATCTCTGTATCTTTATCTATCTCTGTATCCATAGCCACATCTTTAGGGAAAAGATGGCATTTTAGGGATGAATATCTCTTTTTTCATAACAATTCATTAAATACATAGCATATTGCATATGATCCTTTGAAATGTTTCCATCATGGTGTGATTTTGTTGCTGAAAATAATGAAAACTGCATAATCTCTAAAAAGTTTTGTATCTTCATATTGTAATTCTTTAAAATATACAGTCTATAAAATGAAATTCCATTTATTAGAAGTATCCGTGTCCTCAACTTCCCCTTTGGAGTTAGTCCGGTCTCCCTGGCCCCTTCATGCCCCGACACTCTCTCTAGAGCAGAGCAAGTTTGTTTCTGTGAGCATGTAAGTCCTCTACCTGTGGCCCTGACTCTTCCAGAATTTTCTCCTGCCCAATTACCAACCACTCCCCACCCCAAATGTATGCTTCTACTCCATGCAACTGTCTGTGACCTCCCACTTTGATCAACTGTGTTATTGCATGCTCAAAATCATCCCTTTTTATTTGATTTGGTCTTAGATTCAACTTAGTGTTAAGCTAGTATCTTTTCTCCAGTGTAAAAAAAAGTTTTTGCTTTGCTCAGACAGACTAAAGAGCTCCTTCTCTGACCTCAGAGAGCACCATTTTTGTATTGCAAAGACCGTATTATATTGCAAATGTTTATGTTTCTCCCTATCCATTATTGTATTGAAATATTCTTAAAGATGGGGCCTTAGCATTTTTTGTATTTTGATCTGTACTCTATGAAAGAGCTTGATATAAAGTTGATGTAGGGCTTTGTAAAACTGATTGGAAAACATATTTTCTGGTTTTGAACCTGTACCCATTTTCCTCTCAAGCTATAGCGTCTTCACATAGTGTTTCTTCAGCAACCTCCTTCTTAGCATTCCTCAAATCTCTTGGTAGTTTTAAGGCTTAACATTGAGCTTAATGCACTATTTGATTTTCCGCATTTGCAGTAATTCCTTTGCCAGACTTTCATAATTGTGTATATGTGTGTTTCTACACACTGTTTCCATTAAGCAGGGCAGCAATGTCAAAAAGCTGTGGTACATTATTCAATTTTTATTGAATAGCCAGCATCAGTTCTGTGGCAGAGATTATTATAACTGTCAGTATTATCATAATAATCAAATAAAAGAAAGTCTCGGTTTCAACTAAGCAACTTGACCTTTTGCACATGTCTGTCTCTTTAACGTCACTTTAGAGAGGATGACTCAGCTTGTTCTAATACCAAACTAATGGTTTCAGATCTACCCGGCTCTTTCAGGGAGGGGTAGAGGTTAAGGCAGTAAAGTCCTAAGAACTGGCTTCCCAGGCAGGGGAAAGCTCATTGGCTATAACACACAACGAGTTTCTGGCTTTCTCCAGGCCTCCACGCTTTCATTTTTAACACATAGTCTCATTTAGCTCAGCAAGTCTCATTTCTATTCGGAGTTCCTGGGGGGTAAATCTCACTGGCTTTTTGCTCTTACACAAACTTGCCTAGAGCTCAGTGTATTTGCTTCTCCTAGACATATTGATAAAATTTCAGTGTAACTACTGTTGAAAATTCTAGAATCTACAATTCTCAGACAAAAATAACAAAGTTAAGCCAGGGCAGGGAAGTTTATTTGACAGAAATAACATGGGCTTTTGTACTCTATCATTCCTGATAGAGTCCACATCTGGAAAACAGGGACAGCATTACCTTCTACTATATGTGTAATGAGGAGGCAGCTGTTCCATTGTGTTTAACTGCATAGGATCCTATGACAGACAACCTCAGTTCAAATGCCCTCCCCACTGCTTCCCACGTAGGCGTTCTTAGGCAAGTGTCTACCTCGTTCACTTCAGGTTCCTCATTTCTAAAACAAGGTTACAGTCATAGTGCCTACTGCAGAGAACCCTTGGGTGAATCAATGGTGGTTTAAGTAATACTTAATGGAGAGTGACCAAAGTCCTGAGTTCATGGAAGAGCAACATGAATGCCCAACATTAATGTAATAGACTCTTTCTAATTTTAAACATTTTAATTTGATATTATATAATATATATTTTAATTTATAAGTATAATATATGTACTATATATAAATATGTTATAATTATATATACTATATACTATATTATATGTAGTATGACTATATGTATATATGTGCATATGTACGTATGTGTTATACTATATATAATCGTATACTACATATAATACATTATATACATTATATTTAATGTATTTTTCTGTGTACTTTTCTATGTGCCTTGAGTTAGTAAAATTTAAAGTTGAACAAAACCACAGATTCTGCACCTTAGAAACTTAATTCTAGTGAAGAAACTAATGCATCAGAAATTACATGCTTCATCAAAGATAAATAATGGTTTGGACATATCAGAGATATTTTCCAGTAGGGAGATCAAAGGTTTGTTGGTAGACTGTGAGGGTTGTATATATATAGGAAGGGCTTGAACTTTTGTTGTGTAGACAGTAAAGAACTGATATGGTTTGGCTGTGTCCCCACCCAAATCTCATCCTGAATTCCCATGTGTTCTGGGAGGGACCAAGTGTGAGATAAGGGAATCACGGGGGAAGTCTTTCCCATGCTGTTCTTGTGACAGTGAATAAGTCTCATGAGATCTGATCGTTTCATAAAGAGGAGTTCCCCTGCACAAGTTCTCTCTCTCTTTGCCTGCTGCCATCCATGTAAGACGTGACTTGCTCCTCCTTGCCTTCCGCCATGATTGTGAGGCCTCTCCACCCATGTGGAACTGAATCCATTAAACCCTTTTTCCTGTATAAATTACCCAGTCTCGAGTATGTCTTTATCAGCAGCATGAAAAGGACTAATACAAGAGGCATTTTTGTTTTAATTGTAAAAATAATGAAACTAACTTTGTTTATTCTTGTGATATTGTTTTAAGTATTCATTATTCTCTATTTTCATAAATATTTAACACCCACAAAATACCAGGCATTGTGCTAGGTTTGCAACATTCACAAATCAATTATAGTAATTTAGCTTGTATTTGGAGTAGCAGATAGAATATCAGTAAGTAAACAAATAAATAGATACAGATTGTGATAAGAACTATGAAAAAAAAGGGGCTGTTTTATATGTCCAGCATAGGGGAGAACTTGGGGCACTAACCAGGGTGTTCAGGATTGACCCTACTGAGGAGGCTCAGTTCAAGCTCAGCTCTAAAAGATAAGGAGACTCCAGAAGGAGCTGGGAGGTGGGGTTGCAGACATCTGGGGAAACACGTGGAAAAGTGACAAGGGTAAGAAGCAGTGTTGTGTGGTGCAGCTTTAGTAGGTTTCTGTTGTAGTTTGGATTTTACTTATGTTATTTCTTGAGCATCACTCCTTGGGCATCTAATCTCTTAAAACCTTTGTTTACTTATCTGTAAGAGGAGATGCTACTGCTGTCTGACAGGATTGTTGATGATTAAAAATCAGTAACTTTAATTAAGACCCGTGTCTTAGTCAGTTCAGGCAGCTATAACAAAAATTGAAATCATAGATGGGGTAACATAAACAACAGAAATATATTTCTTGCAGTTCTAGAAGCCAGCAATGCAAGATCAAGGTGCCAGCCAGTCCATTTCCTGGTGAGCACCCTCTTCCTTATTTGCAGACAGCTGCCTTCTTGCTGTGTCCTCATGTGGAGAAAGAGCTAAGCTCAACTTCTGTTCTCTTCATCTTCTTAAAGGGACACTGATCTCATCACGAGGGCCCCACCCTCATTAACCCATCTAGCCTTATTACCTCCTGAAGGCCCCACCTTCAAACACCATCACATTGGGGGTTAGAGCTTGAACATATGAATTTGGAAGGGACACAAACATTCAGTCCAAAGCAGCCTGGCACCAATGAGTTCCAATGATAAAGTATTAGTCAGCTCACATCAGTTTTCTACTCAAAAATCTTTTATGAGCCCCCATTTTACTCAGAGTAAATACTATATTGCTCAACATGCCTTACCCAGCATGGCCACAAATTCTGGAACATTCTATGCCTTTGCCCTTGGTCTTCCCTCTGCCAGGCATGCTCTTTCCCATCTCTCTACTGGCTGTAGTTCCTCTCTGTCCCCATCAAGTCTTTGTTCAAACCCAAGCTTTCCATTAGACTCATGTGACCCATCCTAGTTACCGCTGTTAGCTTCTCTACAATCTGTCTTTTGATGCCTCTTACTCCATCCACATAGTTACCAAAGCACTTATTTATTCTAACATGGTTTTTAATCTACACATGTATCATGCTTATTAATAATTATTTGTCCCTCTCTCCTACTAGAATATAAGTTCTGAAAGAAAAAGATCTGTGTCTGTTTGGCTCACTGATATTTCCTGAGCAAGTAGAACAGTGCCTGGCACAACAGTTATTCGGGATTTATTTACTCAGGTGACCACCTGAATAAATGGATGGCAAGTTGTTGTTAAAGTAGCTTTTGTAGAAGGATGATTGCATTGGACTCTAGATCAGAAAATATTTGGGGGAGACTGGGTATTATCTAGGCACCTGAACTAGAGGTTCCAAAGAAGCAATTTAATATTACTTTGGAAAGTAAGGATTTTCTCCCTGTTCACTTGTCTTGAGCCCCTCTATCCACAGCAACTATTGCAATTCCAAATATGAACTACATATTAAAAATAATCAATTCAATTCAATATATTGAACTGGGCTTATGGGAATGTGAAGTATAGTTGTCTGATTAGATAATTAATGTAGGAGGTAAATCTTGCAGGAAAAATCCCGATTCACCCATGACTGCCTATGATATTTCCTTATGCTTTCATACCCCAGGTGATTTGTGGTAGAGGCAAATCCTATGTCTCATGGGAGAGTTTGCATTATTCTGAGCACTTCTGTGCAGGCAGGAGACAAGACTTACACAAATAGAATGTTTTCTACAACTGAAATATCATGGGAACCCAATTCCAGAGGAAGGGATACACATTGCTGGGAAAACAAATCTTCTATTAGGTGGCCACATTGCCATGCCAATACAAATCAAAGAAAGTATCTGGCCCAAAATTGGAAGAAAACCAAATACAGGAGAATGTGCTTTGGGGATAAAGAAAGGCAACAGTGAGGCATTAGGGTCACCCACGGGTCTTCTAGGGAGAGGGACGAGCTTTGAATACTGACTTGGTTACAAGTGAGGACAGGGGCATATGACTTAATCTCCAAGAGCCATAATTTTCCAGTCTATATAAGCATATATGTCAGACAGTGCTGTGAAGCTTAAATGACATAGCATGTGCAGTGTGCATTTGTCAGAACAAATGTCAAGATTTACTCTCGTTTATCAGCAAAATGAGAGAATCCAACAATCTTTCCTTTTAACAAGTATTTATCGTGCTGCTATTCTTTGTAAAACCTCCTCATTGTCGCGCCACTGCACTCCAGCCTGGGTGACAGAGCAAGACTCTGTCTCAAAAAAAAAAAATTCTCATTGTCATTATCTTGTAAAGTCTTCATAACTCATGAGAAAGAAATCTAGTATTGCCCCCCATTTTCCAGAGTACAAAATTGAGATACAGAGAAGTATAGAAACTTGTTCAAAGGTATTAAGCCACAGCTAGGTTGGTAAAACCAGCTTCACAACCTACATATAATAAGCACTCAGTGCAAATTGGCTATTATTTGTATTAATATTAGCAGGAAAAATAATATTTATCAATGCAAATAGTTCCACAAATCATCAATTACCATTTGTCCAACAGTAAACACAGCAAGCAATATACAAAGGCACACACACACACACGCTCACACACACATGTGCATACACACACACACAAACACACACACACACACTCTCTCACAAAGGAGAAAAAAGAAACAAAACCTTCCAAAATTAGAAGACTGATCATGCAAACTCTGATGGTTTAAGGTAGGGGCAAGAGCTGCTATTGCTTCTTTTACAGTTAAGGTGGGAAGACTTTGAAGGAAACATGGTGAACTGGGGAGTTCCCTTATCCCCCTCACAGGCACAGCATGTGACGGGATGTGGCTCACTTCTTAGGGTGCCCCACTGCTCAAGCCCCTAGGGGGAGCTTGCAGATGCGCAGGTGCAGAGGCTGTGGGGAGTGCTTTTGGACTCTGGCCTCACGGCAGTGTCTAGGACTCCCAAAGCCCAAGTGGCCATGTGTTACACTGTGCTCTTTCAGTTGTGCCATCTGCAGATGACTTGTGTTAGTCAGCTCAACAGACCCTCTGACTTACTACAAGCACAAGAGGCCAGTGTGACAGCCTGAGTTCTTCCCCAGTGTACTGGAAGAATTAGATCTCACGTGGGCTGGAAGGTTGAGTGCAAGGTTTATTGAGTGTTGGAGGTGGCTCTCAGGGTGGATGGGGAGTTGGAAGGGGGATGGAGTGGGAAGGTGATCTTCCCATGGAGTCAGGCCATGCAGTGGCTGGAGTCTTCTCTGACCGCCCCTGGTTGAACTCCCCTTGGCATCCATGTCATCTGGTCTGCCGGTGTCTGCTGGTATCTGCTGGTGTGTTCCTCTGCTCCTCTCAATGCCCAGCCACTTGTGTCTGTGTCTGCTTAAGGTCTCAGGTTTATATGGGCACAGGATAGGGGGTGTGGCAGTCCAGAGTGGTCTTGGAAAATGCAACATTTGGGCACAAAAATAGGCATGCCTGTTCTCACTTAGGTGGGCACAGGCCTACAGGTGGAGCCCTCGCCAGGGACCCCGCCCCTGTCTACCCATCACTTCCCTGCCCCCCTCTCGTATCAATGGGATTTGAAGAGAAATAGGATTGAAATAGAAAACCTGATGGCTCAACTGGTTTGAAAGGGAGACATTTTCCAAACCTGAGTATGCCTTTGCTAGTTAGTGATTCACCTTTGAGATTAATTTATGTAAGACTTGGGTTGAGGAAACATCATGTGATTTTGTAAAGTTCAAATCCTGAGCCAGAAAGACCTCAAATATGAAATTAGTCCTTGCTTATTGAGGTATGGTGAAGGTACAGAACAGATACAAAGGTTTTGAAAAGCAATTTGGGAAAACTGATGTTATCCAATAAAGTTAATTTATGAGATAGTTATTTACAATAGTAAACAAATGAAACTCCTCATAGCAAATCTTAAAAAATATATTTGGTTAGCCAATTGTTTTTCTTTTATTCAACTTAAAAACAGACTTACAAAACTCAAATGTCAAAATAGTACACTCAGGACATATTAAAATTAAGTGTATAAAGTGTTTCTAATGGCATTACAAAATGTATTTTAATACCAAGTAGGAACAAAATCAGATTATTGCATGGGTTATATAAATCTTAACTATTTAAAACTATTTATAAAGGGGAAAATCCTTTGGCAGAAGTTCACCATGACAGCTGATTGTGGAAGAGATTTTATTTTATTATTTTATTTTAAACTTCTATAAGGAGCAAGAACGCTGTTTACAATTAGATGATAAAATACCATTTTAAAGTAAGTCATATTGAGAGGGTAGAAAATAAGAGGGTATACATTTGTCTCATGGAGTTAAAGGTAATCTCAGTTTCACTGGTTTAGTGCTTTGTAATCTAATGTTACCCACCCCAAGCCCTGTCACTGAGGTTATAACACTTATTTCCATTACAGCAGCAAAGTTTCCCCTATCCCTCTTGGACTCCTACAAGAAAAAAGAAACAAGCTGTTCACATCCGTCTTATCTTTTAATAATTGTATTTTAAATTATAGTTATTTGTCAAAAAACTCTTAAACTTGCAGCTGTGGATCTATAAGTTCCATGACCTGTCTCCTCTGGAAGGGGCTGATGTAATTAGAAAGGTTCCATTATCAATCATTCAGCCAAAGGCCTCTCTCTCCCTCTTGCTCTCTCTGTCTCATTCTTGCTCAGGCGCTGGCTCTCTAGCTTTCTCATCAATTACTCTGAATATTTTAGACAAAAGATAAGACCAGCTCCACCTCCTCTTGGCTACAATATTGTCATTGCTGCTAATGGAATTTTAAATCTTCCCTTAGAAGGAAGTTTCCTGGGGAGACATCTTTGGAACTGCCAATTAAGGGGAGGCTAATTTATGCACTGTCCACAGAATTAGTAATAGATTGTAACAAATGTGGCTAAAGATAGCCCATTTGGAACAAAGCAATTTTCTCTGACATTTGGTGGAGTCTATAGTTGGTTTTTATTCCTCAAATCAGAAGGTTCCGAAGTGTTACTTACATGTTAAAGTGGTCTGTAAGGGAGCTGCTACCTTCTCTCCTTCTGTAGGAAATAGAAAAATTAGCAAGAGATTATTTTTTTTCTATTTACTGTATTTCTCTTTATTTTCAAACAGACAAAAATGGTTTTTTGAGTATTTTCTTCATCTCTCCTTTCTTGTCTCCTTGCCTGAAATCAGAGGAGTTATCTGTCCCAGGGATTATCATCGGGAACTTATTTCAGGGTCACTTTGTCCATCTTCCTAGCTGGTAATTCACAACTAAATAGTTTCTCGCTCAACTCTCCCCATCCTCCCTACCCACTGACAAGTCTTATTTCATTTTCTAAAGTGATCATTGACTGTACACATGCTTTGCTCCTACCTTATTTAAGAATATTCGTGATCCAGAAAAATGTCTTAGTTTTCCTTGAAGAGATCATAATAATTTGTCTTATAATATTTAGATCCATGGAAACATAGTTTCTCTGTTTGTTTTAAATCAAATTAAACCTGAGACCCCACGGACCAAGTCAGTGGCTAATTCAGCCTGTCATATGGGGACTACCAGTCATTCTTGGGAGCTAAGGCCATTCCTCCAAAATTAAAAAAGGGCGTAGTCTTTAATCACTGCTGGGCACCACCCTTGCCTTTGCTCCTTCCACCACGGTGCACTGGGATAAAGTCCTCGGGTCTCAGTGCTGGCAGAGTTTCTTAGGAAAGCTCTCAGAGGCCTCTGGTCTTTTTATTAATTCTTCACAGATATCCTGGAAACTTCCCGGTACATGGAGTGCAACAGGCAAATGGGGCACAGATCTCTATAGTTCCTAAACCTCTAACCTTCCGTTACCTTCCAGATTCTACAGACCTCTCCTTGTCTTCCTCCTAGGAAAGAACTCCTCAATGAGGTTTTTGTTTGTTTGTTTGTTTTTTCTTTCTTTTCTTCCTTTTTTTTTTTTTGAGACAAAGTCTAGCTCTGTCGCCCAGGCTGGAGTGCAGTGGCGCAATCTCGGCTCAGTGCAACCTCCGCCTCCCCGGGTTCAAGTGATTCTTATAGGTGCCCGCTACCACGCCCAGCTAATTTTTGTATTTTTAGTAGACACGAGGTTTCACCATATTGGTCAGACTGACCTCGAAATCCTCATTTCAGGTGGTCCACCCGCCTCGGCCTCCCAAACTGCTGGGAGATTACAGGCGTGGGCCCCTGCAAGGGGCCTCAATGGTTCTGAGGCAGCCAGGTGGGAAGAGGCTCCCTTTCAAAACTCCAACCAGCCTGTGCACGGGGAGGAATGAGCACTGGGATGGAGCCACAGAAGTTCATGCTCTTTGCAGCGAGTAGGAACCTGGCCCTTCCTCTTCCTGGGTGGAACCTGGAATTCAGTCTATGATTTGGGAAGCCTACACTAGCGGGAACCCTGACCTTGCAGAGAGTTCCTGTACCCCCTTTTTTCCTTTTTGCCCAATAAATCCTATTATTCTCACCCTTCAAGTCATCTGTGAGCCTAATTTTTCATGGCTATGTGATAAGGACCCGGCTCTTAGCTGAACTAAGGAAAAAGTCCTGCGACAGCTTTATCCTTCCTTTATAAACTGTGGAAACTGTCACCACCCAACTACACCCTGATGTGATGGTGTTTGTTGCAGAGATCCCCTGGATGAAAGCTTTTTTCAGAGAGATGATCTTGTATTTAACTTTCACACCACCAGAATTGGATCAAGAGATGCACAATTGACAGAGAAGAAAAATGAGAGCCAGGAATGGATTGGGGTGACTCCACACATATCACAGAAATCTTCAACCGGAACTGGTAACACGGCCCATGCATCCTAGAAGGTCAATGTGCATCTTCACTTTTAATTCATCCACCTGCCTCTCATTCCAGAACTGTGGTCACCTCATGTGGCTGAGTCACACTGACCTTCTCTTGCTAAGTTTTCCCTCTGCTCGTGGCCTTTTCAGTTAGCATTCCCTCTGCTTAGGATTCTCTCTTCCTACTTCTTTCCATGATTAACCCCTTCTCACCTTTCACTTTCAGACTGAAATATTGTGAGCTAACAGAACACTTCTCAGATTGTTATAGAAATTTTGTGATTTTCCTACCTCCCATTTCCTGCATTACACCAATCGTATAATGGAATTTATTAGTTTTATAATATAATATCAATTTGCTTGATTGCCTGTTTTCTTTCAACTCTTTTTAGAAATTTATGAAAATAAGACTCTTTTCCATTTCCTTATTTTTTTCTTCGTAGCACTTAGCTTTATTTCTGGTATATAGTAGGTGCTCAAACAAGGATTCCTACTGCCCCCTCCTGGGTTTGATTAAGTTGCTAGGACAGCTCACAGAAATCAAACACTTATGCTTTCCAGTTTCTTACTTTTTAAAAAAATTATAAAAGATACAAATGAATAGTCAGATAAAGAGGTACATAAGGTGAGGTCTAGAAGGAACTCTGTCCCCGAGAAGATGACTGTGCACAAAAATGCATTGAGCAACTCAGAAGCTCATCTCATTGTCCAAGAGGCTTTACAGAGCTTGATTTCCAGCCCCCAACCTCTACCTTTCCTGAAGATTGCCAAAGGGAGACTCAGTTCTCTTAGACTCTAATCACTTGGTCTTTCTGGTAACCAGCCCCATCTGAAGGCTGTTTGGGATCTCACTCTAAGTCACTCCATTAACATAAATGCAGGTGTGACCAAAAGGGCTCGTTATGAATAACAGCTTAGAAATCTTCAAGGGTTTCAGAAGCTTTGTAAAAAAAACAAATATCATAATAAAGATGTTCCTATTACAATAATCACTTATGAAAATTGGATTTAGGAACTCTGTGTCAGAAACCAGGGACAAAGACCAATATATTTGTATATGTATGGGTGTGTGTGTGTGTGTGTGTGTGTATATATATATATAAAAAATCTTGTTACATAGTAGATAGCCCCCAAATTCCAAACATACAGTGAAAATGGGTTTTAAAACAGCACAACCTCCAAAAGGGAAGACATAGATTTCTTGGTGTTTTTTTCAGTTACAAAAATCCTCCCCAATAGGCCTCTCAAATAATGTTGTTCAGGAAAATGGACTAAAGAGATTGTCCTGGAGAGTAGAACTAGGAGACATTGTTGATGGCCTGATCCAAGCCGTTATTCCATCAGCACCACCTGGACCATGGGCTGGGCAATGGGACCTAGGACACTTTTCTCCCCTTGTCAAACAGGAAGTTTTTCTCTGGTTTTCTTCTGCCATTCTCCGTGGGATGTTGTAAAGTCATTTAACATACATGTGCTAGAAAGCCTGAGCCTTGATCTCAATGCTCGTTTTAGCTTGTATGCTATGAGGATAGGTCAACTATGTTTTAGTTTTAGCATGCAATGGTTGCATTATATTAGGTAGATAGTTTAAAAATTATATAATTGGGAAGAATGGTATGTATTTATGCTAGAGGAATTATAGGTGGACTATAGCGGATGTTTCTAATGGATTCCTAACTAATATCCCTTTCTTCAATTTCTTAATATGCTAATCCACCTCCTTTATTGCCTGCAACATTTTTGGAATTGTCTGACTTCACCAAGCAAAGTTTTATCAACCACAGTACCCCCAACCTTCCCTCCATTGGAGTGGATAAAATCGTAATTCAAACTTTGCAGAGAGAGAACCCTAATGCTTCTACCCTGTTCCCAAGGCCCAGGGATGAATTCAAATATGTTACACTCTTTTTGCAGGGATTAGCATGTTTAATGAGACTGCTTTTTCCCTCTTATGAGAGCACATGATAAAAAATTTTTGAGATTGTATGAGTCATCTTTGACTCCATATGGAGAAACAATGAAGAGGTGCTGTAAAAGACAAATTGTCTAAGTATCTGAACGCATGCCTGCTGCAAGCCACCCTTGTCACTTGACTTGACTATTAGCTGAACCAATAACTTTCTCCTTTTAACTACACATGCCAGGGATGGTTTTTAGTTTTAGGTTTCTAAAAGACTCTACATTAATGCAAGACGGTCATGGAAAAAAAATCTTACATTTATTGATTATTGGTCATTTA
The DNA here is from genome assembly GCF_000001405.40 of Homo sapiens. NCBI lineage: Eukaryota > Metazoa > Chordata > Mammalia > Primates > Hominidae > Homo > Homo sapiens. The sequence goes on from NC_000008.11 coordinate 136,456,806, forward strand.
TCAATATCCTTACATGAATCCAATGCTCAGAACAATCATATGAGGTAGAGACCATTATTATTAATTTACTACAAATAAAGAAATGGAGTCTCAGGGAAAAATAGCTTGACTTAGTCTCAAAGATAGGAGATAGTGAAATAGAGATTTAAACCCCGGCCATCTGTCTCTAAAAGTTTCTGTGCACTGTAAATATAGTGTTATAAGAATGCAACATACTTCATAACTATGCTGCGTCATCGTGACGATGCCTTGTCTGACTGCTTAGACTCTTCTAGTATTTGAACTCCTGCATAAGAATGATGGTGGCATTCTGGAGCAAAGCAGGAGAAAAGGCACAGTTCTTTCTTTTCCTGACCAGTGTAGACTCTGAGGATTACAGAAGGTGAATGTGGAGTATGACATGATCTGATGTCTGATGAGACTCCCTAACTTTCAGAATCAATCTCCATGTATCCAAGATTCTAACAGTTGGAATTAATTTTAATGTCTATTGTCATTTTAGCAACATTTTAATTTCTCCCTGGCTATTTCTAGTTGGGAAGCCTTCTGGGAAGGTTTTTTGGCAGGTGCTGTATTATTATGGATTGAACTTTTGAAAAACACATGATAGTGTGAAGAAGAGAGTTATTTGGAGGTTATTAATTAAACAAATATTTCCTAAGCATTTACTATGTACATAGTAAATTTAAAAGGAGAGAACAGGCAAAGATAAATATAGAATTAACATGATATCCAGGCTTTTCTTTAGAAAAGTTATAAAGTCATTAGAGAAATCAAACAAATGTATGTGAAAAATTGTTGAAGGTTATGAAACTGACCTGGTCTTGATGGGAACTCATTTCACTGATTTATTTTTCCTTGTGCTGAGCTTATTTACACATAAGGTGAGCCTTTATCCATAAATTGCAAGAATCAAATAATTCTTTAAAATATTTGAAATCAAAGATTAGTGATCAAATTTAGATATCACTAGATATCCTGATGGAGACTGTTTAAACTGCAGATTCATGAACTCTGATTTAGAGCTACTGAGTCAAGTTTATGCATAGAGACTGGGAATCTGTATTTCTAAAGTACCTACACAGAAAGACCTCCACTTCCAGAAAGATGAAATACGTGTACTTTTCTCTTATTTCTTCCATCAATTACAATTAAAAACCTGGGCAACACACACACACACACACACACACACACACACACACACATATATATACACACTATACACACGTATGTGTGTCTGTGTACATATGACATAAGAACATTCTGGAAGGTGGAGAGATAAATGCAGATGATATGGGAAACTCAGGAGCTAAGAAACAATAGTGACAACGTCTCTGAATTTCCTTTTTGCCTTACATATCCCTGACACAACGCTGAAGAAGATGGCGACCTAGAAATTCCCATGTATGCAGGCAAAGCCACAAAAGAAGCCTGATCTCTCTAGCCAAAGGACTAGGAAACATGCAGCACTGCAGACAGAAGACTTTAGACAATAACTGCTATAATTCTGCCAAACACACAGAATCATTGGTGACCCCACACACTCATATCAGCAAAGGCCAAGCAGGAGCCTAAATTTCTACTGTCACCAGACTATAGTGAGATGCCTCCAAATTCCCACTAGAGTAGTTCCAGAGAAAGCCAAATCAATGTCAATAGCTAAAATCTTTAACTCCAGTGGAGGTAATTAGTCCCCTTTTGTGCTATCTGTGGAGACTATGTGGGGAGCCTGAACTTCTTCTACCCTTACGGGGCAGTAACAAGGCTAAATTTCACGCTCTTACTGAGAATTTCAACATCAGCCAGATAATGCAAAATTATTACAAAATGCCCATAGTTTCATAACTAATATAATATCTACAATGTCCATGTTATAATTGGAAATCACTAGTCATAACAAAAACCAGAAGAATCTCAAACTAAATAATAAAAACAATCCATAAATATTATAGTGGGTTTAATAGTAGCCCCCCAAAATTTATGTTCACATAGAACTTAAGAATGTGAACTTATTTGGAAGTAATGAGTCGTTGCATATTAATGTAAAGACCTCAAAGTAAGGTCGTCTTGGATTAGGGTGAGCCCTAAATCCAATGATAATGTCCTCACCAGACATAGAAACACTAAGAGAAGAGGTAATGCGAGGATAGAGGGAGACATTGAAGTTATACAACCACAAGGTCATGAGAAGGTGGAAGACACATAAAAGATTCTTCCCTAGATCCTTCAGAGGAAGCATGCCCCTGCTGACCCTTTAATTTTAGACTTCTAATCTCTAGAATTATAAAAGAATACATTTATTTGGTTTAAGCCACCAAGTGTGTGTCAGTTTATCATGAGAATCCTAGGAAACTAATACTCATGTCAACATCAAGATGACAGTGATGTTAGAATTATCTGCAAAGATGTTAAAGTAGCCATCCTAAAAACAATATAATGAGAAATGGCAAATATAATTGAAAAAATGAAAAAAAACAGAAATTTTTAGAAAGGGATTAGAAACTTCCAGGAAATAAATAAATATAAAGAAGAATCAAACAAAATTTATATAACTGGAAAATACAATGACAAATAAAAAACTTGGTGGATGGGCACAGCATCAGAATGAACAGAATAGAAAAAAGAGTCAGTGACTGGGCAAGAAAACAATGGCAATTACCGAATCTAATCAATAGGCAGAAAATCCAAAATAAAATCAGCAAAGCCTCCAGGACCTCTCAGATTATTAAAAAAAATATCTAAAATTTGTGTCACAAGAGTTTCAGAAGGGAAGGAGAAAGGGCAGGTTTAAAAAAGCACTCAAAACAATGGATGAAACCTTGTGCAAACTTGGTAAAAGACATACCTCTTCAGATATAGAAGAACCTGAGTGAACCCTAACCAGCACAATGTACTTCCACCTCCTCAGTGAAAACCAAGGCACATAAGCAAGTTTCTAAAAACTAAAGATAAAGAAAAATCTTGAAACCAGTCAAACAGAAACTACTTTACTTAGAGGAAATCAGCAATTCAAATGAGAGCTGATTTTTCATCAGGAGCCATGGAAGCCAAAAGGAAGGGGGTATAATATTTTTCAAGTTTTTAGAGGAAACAAAGAAGTCAACTAGGAATTATGTGTTGAGTAAAATTATCTTTAGCAGTGAAGTGTGGGGTGGGGTGGAGGAAATCAATCCTAAGATGAAGAAGAACTAAGAAAATCTATCACCAGTATATTCATCCTAAAAAGAATGACTAAAGAAACTTTTCTAAACAGAAAGAAAATAGTACAAGTAAGAACCTTGGAAGAGCAGGATGGAAGAAAATAAAATGATAAGCAAAATCAGGTGTAATTACAGTAGACTTCTCTTCATCTCCTTAAGTTTTTATTTTTTTCTTTTTTGAGACAGGGTCTCACCCCATCATCCAGTCTGGAGTGCAGTGGCTTGATCTCAGCTCACTGCAACCTCTGCCTCCCAGGTTCAAATGATTCTCCTACCTCAGCCTCTTGAGTAGCTGGGATTACAGGTATGCACCACCATGCATGCCTAAATTTTGTATTTTCAATAGACATGGGGTTTCACCATGTTGGCCAGACTGGTCTACAACTCCTGGCCTCAAGTCCTCCACCCACCTTGGCCTCCGAAAGTGCTGGGACTGCAGGGATGAGCCATCGTGTCTGGCCTTCTCCTTAGGTTTTCTAAGTATTACTTACTATTGAAGCAAAAATTATAACAGCATCTTAGAGGCTTTAAGTGCAGAGAAAACACTTAAGAACATTATTATAAATGGGGGAGGACAAACGGGTGTAAAGTAGGTAAGTCCTGTATATTTCACTTGAACTGGTAAAATGACAGCACAGTACACTGTACAATACCTAGATTCACCGTTTAAGATGCTGTAAACAAGATACGCCAAGAAACACTATAAATAAATAAAAATAGAACTCTAAAAAAATGTTAAAGTAGCCCAAAGCAAGGAACAAAAAAGAGAGAATGGAAAAACAAAGAACAAGCAGAAAAAAAGGCAGATGCAAGCCCTAACATATAAATGACATTAAATGTAAATGGTCGAAATGTATCAAATACAGAGAATGTCAGAGAATATTAAAACATGTGATCTAACAATATGTTGTCTACAAGAAATTCAATTCAAATATAACAATATAGGCAGGCTGAAAATAATAAGATAGGGAAAGCTATTTATGAAGATATTACATGTAGGAAAGCAGAAATTGCTATATCAATTTAAAGTAAACTTGATATCAGAGCAAAGGAAATATCACAGACCAAGAGAGATATTATATAATAAGAAAAGGGTAAAAAACACAAGCATAGCAATCCTACTGGTGCACCAAACCTCACACCTGCAAAAATATATGAAGCAGTGTAGATAAAACTGAAAGAAGGCATAGATAAATCAATATTAATAATTGGACATTTTAACATCTCTTTCTGAACAACTGATAGAAGCACTAGACAAAAAAGTTGACAAGAATTTAGAAAAACTCATAAACACTCTCATAAAGCAAGATCTACATGACATCCATAGGAACTTCACATAGCAACAGAAATACATTCTTTTCGGTATAAAAAGGACATATGCATGGATAGACTGTATCCTGTACATTAAGCAAAGCTTGAAAAATCTAAAATAATTGAAATAATCTCTGATCATACTGGAATCAAGCTAGAAATCAACCACAGAAAAATAAAAGGAAAACCCTCAACAGCTGGAGACTCAACAACATACTCCCAAATATTTAATGAGTTCAAAAGGAAGCCTCAAGGGAAATTTAAAAATGACCTGAATAAAAATGAAAATATAAAAACATGACAACTTAGATGAAATGGACTAACTTATTGAAAAACAAAAACTACTGTAACTCACTCAATATGAAAAAGATACCTTGAAGACTTGTTTGTTTTTTGAGATGGAGTCTTGCTCTTGTCACCCACGCTGGAGTGCAGTGGCACGATCTCGGCTCACTGCAACCTCTGCCTCCTGGGTTCAAGCAATTCTCCTGCCTCAGCCTCCTGAGTGGCTGGGATTACAGGTGCCTGCCACCATGTCCAGCTAATTTTTGTATTTTTAATAGAGACGGAGTCTTGCCATGTTAGCCAGGCTGGTCATGAACTCCTGACCTCAAGTGATCCACCCACCTTGGCCTCCCAAAGTGCTGGGATTACAGCCTTGAGCCACCGTGCCCGGCCAACTTGAAGAATTTTATATTTATGAAGTGTTGTAGTCTGTGCCTGCCGCTATAATAAAATATCCAAGAATGGTAATTTATAAAAGACAGAAATTTATTTCTTCTAGTTCTGGGAGCTGGGAACTTTAAGATCAAGCTGCCAGCTGGTTTGGTGTCTGCTGAGATTCTGGTCTCTGCTTCCAGGAAGGCCTCTTGCTGCTGAACCCTCACAAGAGGAAAACCTCTGGCAGAAGACGGAAAGGCAAAAAAGTCTACCTATGTCTCTCCAGGTATTTTATCAAGTCACGAATCCTATATATGAGTGAGGAGCCCTTGTGGCCTAATTGCCTCCTTAAAAGCTCACCTCTTAATACTCTAACATTGGGGATTAAGTCTCAACATTAATTTTAGAAGGGACAAAAATATTCAAAGTATAGCATTGAAGGAAATCAAATTTGTAATTACAAAACTTCCCTAAAGAAGCTTTCCTACCTCTATGCTTTCACTGGAGTAGTCTACCAAACATTTATGAAAAATTACACCAATTTTACAGTCTCTGATTTAAATAAAATAGAATAGAATAATTTTCAATTCTTTCTGTGAAGCTGTTGTTATCTTATACAAAGACCAAATGAATCTAATACAAAACTCTAAAATATGTAATTCAAAAAATAGACCAGTAGTCTTCATATAGACAGTCACAAAAATTTATAACAAAATATTAACATTTATTTTTATAATAGTTTTCACAAATTTGTTGCCCAGATCTCATGATCATTTATTAATTTATTTAATACAGATTTATTGATTATTTACTATATAAGCAATTTTCATGATTGGCTAATGGGGTAAATAAAGTGATATGGGTTCAACAGTTTGTATCTTTAGGGTCAGAGCTGTTCCATCACACAAAGAGTTGGAATCCGATTCAAAGCTAAAAAAAGTGATCAAAAGCCTTTTTACAGGTTGAGAACCAAATGAGAAATTCCTTTTTGTCTGGTAGATAAGTGACTTTTAAAATAGGTTAACATTAGTATTTTGGTTATCTATTTATGTACAACCCACTACCTCAAAATGTATTGATATAAACAACAATTGTATTATGCCTCATACTTTCTATGGGCCACAAGTTCAGAGAAGGTACAGCAAGTATGGCTTATATCTGCCCCATGATATCTGGAATTTAATATGAGAAAGCTCAAAAGCTGTGAGCTTGAGTTATCTGAAGCTATTCTCGCTCACATGTTTGGCAGTTGATTCTGGTTGTCAGCACAGCGGTCCACTGCGCTGTTGGCTGGAACCCCTATTTTTGGCCTCTCCATGTTATCTATCATATAGGCTAGTTTGGGATTCCTCACAATATGGAGGCTGGATTCTTAGACTGAGCATTCCTAGAAGCCTGGGCTTAAAAAATAGAACGATATTGGTTCTACCGTATTCCGTTGGTAAATCAGTCACAGAGCCCAGATTCAAGGGGAGGAGAACCATAAACCATGAGGTTAGGGAAGATTGTCAAGGAATTTTGAGGCCACATTTTAAAATAGCTAGTCATCCCTCTGGGATCAGATGAGTCCTCCCAAATGCAAAATAAACTTCCTTTCTACCAGGAACCTGAAAACTCCCATTTCATTAGCCTCATCAGGTTTAGTCTTAAGGTGAAATCTCATTCTATAAATCTAGTCCAGGAAAATATGAAGCTCCTCAAGTACTTATTGTCAAAGGATTTTAGAGCAACATTAAAGTCACAACAGGCCGGGCGCAGCGGCTCAGGTCTGTAACCCCAGCACTTTGGGAGGCCCAGGCCGGAGGATCACTTGAGGTCAGGAGTTCGAGACCAGCCTCGCCAACATGGTGAAACCCCGTCTCTACTAAAACTACAAAAATTAGCCAGGCATGGTGGCGGATGCCTGTAATCCCAGCTACTCAGTAGGCTGAGGCAGGAGAATTGCTTGAACTCAGGAGGCAGAGGTTGCAGTGAGTTGAGATTGCCACTGCACTCCAGCTTGAACAAGAGCAAGACTCTGTCTCACAAAAAAAAAAAAAAAAACCACAACAGTGACCACATCAAGTAAGAAACACGGTGTTTTAAGATGAGAAACTTCATGTAAGATTGAAATAATTTGGACATTGTGTGAATTATTATCCGTATGGGTAAATTTGTTTCCTCTGTTGGTACACCATATCTACTCCATGGTTTTCCAAATGATAAGTGACAACCATGATTGGTCTTGCACTTACAAAGATGACCTGGATAATTTGAGTATGGGATGTAGGACTTGCACTACTTGTCAAGTCCAAATAAACCCATCCCAGATTCTTAGGAAGTGATAGTCTCTCATATTGAGTTCTGAGATTCACGGGTCATCATGCATGTTGATTTATTGTGTGCTAGTTTACATCTGTTGTCCTAATATAATCATTAATAATAGTCCTTATCTTTTGTAAAAGTCCAGTTTGGATGATAAATGCTATGGTTATTTCATTGAGTAAAATCCCACGAAGCATATTTTAAGAAATTGGCAGCTGTCACTTCCTTTTGTTTCTCAAAGGGAGTGCAAGACTCTTAAGGACAGAGGCAATACCTAATCCTTCCGGCTTTTCTCAAATATCTCTACTCTTTTGACATTAAGTATTATATTATTTAATAAGTTTAAGGAAAACATTGAGTCTCCTTGTCCATAAGTATCTTGAAGCCAGGGGTTGTATCTTAGCAATTTCTGTACACACAGCACCTGTCATCGTGCTCATCTGAGTCAAAAACTAATAAACGGTTGTTCAGTGAATGAATTTCCCTTCTTTCTCTTTCAAGAGTACAATTAAATCTTGAGAAATAAACTACTGTGCTATGTGTAGCCATTGGATCAGGTACTGAATGTGCCTCTTTGGACCAGAACATTCACAGCCAGCCATAACAAGATCTATTTAAGGAAGAGACATAATCTCCCTGAGCAATTTGAATCCAGCTTTTTATCACTTCACAGCAGAGCAGCATTTGCCTGAGATTTTCTTTTTAATGATTTATTAATGCAGTTGTCATCTGACAGTTTGAGTATTTTAATTTTGCTTGATCTTAAAGCTACTTTTGACACTGTTGATTATAACATCCTCCTGGATCACTTTGAATATTATGTCAGCTTAGCTGAATCAACTTTAAGTGGGTTTCACTCGTGTTTGCTCAAGAGCAATCACCCTTCCTGATGAGAAGGTGATTTCCTTCTTTCCTTCTCCTGCGCTGACATACCATGTGGACCCTCGTTTGAGAGACCTGCATTCATGCATGTCTCCACGCAGTTTCTCCAGACAAGGCTGTAGTCCTCTGAAGTAGAAGAAAAGTGGAAGGTAAGAATCTTTGACATCAGCCTTCAGGCATTCAAATCTGCCTCCACGTGACAAGTCAGTTTATCACTCAGCTTCTTGGGTTCCAGCTCTCTAAGTGGAGATAATTATATCTACCTCACACTGTTTTTGGGAGGATTTTCAGAATGTCTAGGACATCATGCTAGCCCTTACTTGAGGCCATGCTCCTGGAACGACATTTAATGAGAAGCCCTTGTGAAAACATGTTATCTGCTGGTTCAGCATCAAGGTAGCAGTGTCCGTGCAGCCGGGATAAAAATTAAGTTACTCCAGACTTTAGAATCTTCACACATTTTATTTTATTCTAATAGCAATTTTTAGAAAATATTTTATTCAAAGATGTCTACCTCTTACGCTGTATTATAAATTCCTAAGAGGTAGAGACCTCTCAACTTTTTAGCTTTGAATTTCCTTATAACTTAAGTCACCATATAATTTATGATCCAAAGCAGGAAACATTTGTAAAGAAAAGGGGGTGATAGTAATAATTATTCCAGTACGATAAGTCAAAAACAAAGACTGTCCTAACCAAACTGACATCATTACCCTAAGTATAAGCCCTTGCACGAACATATTCACCTAGGAAACCATTAATAAATTGTTAACAAATGAAAAATTTGTAGGTCAACTCATCACAAATCAAAAGTAACATTTTCAGATTCGGAATATTATACCACTGGGTTATTTCTAAACTTGCAGTCCCTATATACATGTCTGGCATAAAAAAATCTGTCTTCCAAAATAGACATACCAGTATCTCTTTGGATTTTTTCCTCCCTCAAGATTCACATCCTCAGTGCTGCCAAATTTGTTTGACCTTCTGCCTTAAATCCCTTAAAATCTGCTTCCTTTCTATCTTCCTCATAGATGTTGCCTTCCAGCAATTCTAACTATGAATATTATAAAAGTTTCCAAAACGCTCTTTTCCCTTGTCCAAAACAAATGCATATTATTTCATTAATTTAAAATAATTAATCAAAATTATTAATTTAATTTAAAATAATTAAATTATTCCAGATTTTTTTACAGTTCTACATTTTAAAAATTTTAATATTGCCCCATTGATATTTATTATAACACTTTATCCCAAAACCATGAGAGTTGCCAGTCTGGCCTTGATATACAATTGAATCCCCACACCCTGTTTCCTACTCCTTAGGCAGTGTTACCGATCCTCCTAGATCTCATGTTTCCCTGAATTTTTTTTTATGCCATCACAATCCCTTTTTGCTTTCTTCCTAGAACCACATTTCTATTTTCTTTACTTGAAGAATTTCTAATTTTTCTTTCAACTACAATTCATTGGGTGCCTACTCTATGAAAACATTCCACCCCCCTTAGGAAGAAGTGGGAATCACTTTCTTTAAGATTTCAAAACCCTTCCTATCTCTAAGAACAGGGTGATTACCTTAAATGCTCTTATCTGCACTGGAGTGTGATCCTTATGGACAACAAGTCTATCTTCTTAACCTCTCTATTTTCTGATTCTTGAAAACATCTTGCAGGTTTTGAATATCTGGGCATTACGAAGAAGAAAATAAAAAAAAAACAAAACAAAAGATTGTACAGTTTCATAGTTTCTGTGCACCTTTTCAACAGTCTCATACTCAGCACAGTTAATGCTGCTTCTGCTGATGGCGATAGAAAGGTCCTATTATGTTATTATTATTGTTGTTTTCATTGACATCAACATGAGCAAACTCCATTTTTGGATCACCAATTGTGGTCCAAACACTATGCTAATAGATATTTGTTGAGTACCTCTGTTTACCTATATCTCCTATAGGTGGGATGATGATAGTAACAATTATAATAATACAATTTATAAATAATTTACTGTGATAGGCACTGTTGTCAGTTAAGCAGTTTATAATAAATTGATTTTCTTTATAGAGAAGAGAAATAGTGTAAATAAATTACCCAGAGCCACACAATGATTAAGAGGTGAAATTAGGAATTAATCCTGGAAAGTCTGACTCCGGTGTCTACATTCTTAAAAGCTCTGTTATCCTGGAACAGGCCAGACAAAGCCCCTTTTCACATAAAGCTGACATTCACGTAAAGGAAAAAGAAATAGATCATGAACAAATAAGTACGTAATAAAACATACTTTCCAGAAAAATCAATAATTCAGAACGGGAAGTTATTTGCAAAGAATAATTCAAGGAGATAGAAGAGAGGGTGATGTGCAGCAAAGGCTGGGTATATGAGTCATAGAGGAAGTGAGACCTGAAAGAGTCAACCAGGTGGACTGCCTTCCTGCTGGAGGAACTGCAGGCAGCCATATGTCTGGGCATTAGTATGAGATGCTTAAGGACCAGGAGGAAAACCTGTGTGCCTCAGACACATTGAGCAGGGTGGGGAGTCGTAGAAACAGGCTGGGGCAGAGGCAAGAGGAAGGAGCCTTGGCCTGGTGCGTGTTTGTCTTTCATTGCCAATGCAATGGAAAGACAAGGCAGGGCTTAAAGACAAATATAAAGTAACATCATTAATATTTTTAAAACACTGTTGTGTGGAGAATGGATTTCTGGGTGAAGACTAGAACCCAAAAAGCCAGTTGGGACTCCACTGTGAAGCCCGGCATTAGGAAGACAATGATTTGAACGACTTGTAGCAGTGTTGCTGAATATAAGTATATGGACAATACTTACAGCTTCACATCTTGTGCTCATCATAACTTTGTGAGGCAGCTTCATTTTGCCCATTTTAAAGATAAGCAAACTGGGGCTCAAAGTGATTTAGCATTTTAACCAAAAGAAATTGCCACCCAATGTCCTGTTACACAAGCTGAGTAGGGACTTTAACCCAGATCTGTCCGGTTCCAAAGCCCATGCCTTTGACTCTCCAATGTTTCTGGGAGAAGACAAGAATCTCCCAGGACTCAGAGGACACTGAGGCTGCTATGGCTCGTGATAGCACTGGCAATGGAAACCAGGGGTGCAAAGTAGTGTCTAAAGAATGTTTTAAAAAACTATGTACAGCTCAAGAAATCCCTCGTGAAGGAAGCACTGTTCATGTGGGCAGCCATCATAGGTTGGCTTTGGTTGTCATGATGATAATCTGACCATGCTTGATGTGGTGGCTTCCTGTGCCTGGACTCACTGGGAACTGCAATGACCTCAATGATGGCAGATACAGGGGGTGTTTCATGGCCTGGACAAGCAGGTAAAAATCCAGCCTTCAGACCAGGATGAAACTAGAAAGTGGAATATTAAAGAGGAAGATGATATCATAAACTATCATCAGGGAAAAAGAGGGACTTGGAATAATTTTTGTGACACAGATTAATGGGTTCAATGGGTGATCAGGAAACTCAGTGTTGAAGTTCAGCTCCTAAATTCCAGGTCTGAAACCACCACCGAATATCTGCAATGATGTCTTATAGGAAGGAATATGTGGAGGGTAATGTGGAAGCACACAGAAAGATAGATTAAACTTGAGGGTTTAACAGCAACAAAAACATTACGCCAAGTTGTAATATTAGTTAATGAGCAGGTGTTAAAGTGAGGGAATGGGCAGTTTCCCTTTTCCAAAGCTTATGTCATGTCATATATATGATCTCAATTGCATTTCTTGAGAGGCATGCACCTTGATTATTCCTGTTCTATGGAAAAGGAAACTGAAGTGTAGATAAGTATTTCACCCAAAATCACCCCTGGGGAGTTGAACTCCCACCTGCGGAACCTTGCAGCCTATATCTTTCACCCTCTGCAAGCAACTCTGATGGGGCTGAAATCTAGAGAAAAAAAAGAATCATTCCTAAAGAGGCAACACTGCAGGTCATGGCAGAAGACAAACTCTACTAGGTGTTTTCAGGCTCACATAGAAATTTTGCCTTCTGTCCACTGACAAATTTTGAACTAAGTCCCATAATGTTTTGTTTGGAACTATGTTTTGTTTGTCTGTTTTCCCAGCTTTCTTCAGGATTGGCTCAGAAACTGAAATAACACCTAGATGAGACTGCACAAGTAGTTTTACATTCAGAGTGCTGGAAAAGGGGCAAGAATCAGGACGAGACTATAGAGTTCCCTGATCTTTAATTGACGCTGAATTAGTAGATAATTTGGTCAGTATTTAATTTGGTGGCAGCCTTTATTCTTATTCTCAGGATTTATGGAAACTGAACATATTTTTCTCTCTTTGAACCTTATTTAGTTATCTGTAAAATAAGGCTGAAGAAATACATGATAGCTCATTTCACTTTAAATTACTAATTCTTTTATATAACAAAAGCAAAGCATCACTAATTTGAAACCCAATGATTTCATAAGAAGATAAGGAAAGTATACTACGATTTAATTTTGAAAAACCATATGCAACTATAATTAATAGCATAAAACATGTCTTCAGATATACTATTTAATCTCCTCATCTCAGTGATCCAAATCTACTCCTCCTGTCATATTTCATAATTGTAGCACCACCCATCAAGTTGGGCAGTTCCAAGTCTTACCAAATACCACCACACCTGTTCAATGTTTAAACTACGTAGTCTATTTCTTTAATGCATTGATCTCTCTATTGAATGGCTGATCATTTTCCCACTTGAGTTACTATAATATCATCTTCCATTGGGCTTCTGCCTGACACCTGGATTTCCTTAATTCTCCTTGCAGACGTTTGTCAAACTAATAATCTAAAACAAATATCCAATGTTATCTCATTTCTGTTGAAAATCCTCATGACTCCTCATAACTTTCAAGGGAAAGTTTCAACTCCCTGTCTTAATTAGGAAAGCCCTTTATAATTTATATGATTTAGTCTGTATCATGTCAAGTAATACCTTCTGCCAGTCTCTACTTCACATATACCATTGCAGCCAGAAGAAGTGATTTAAAATTCCCTCAATATAGCAAATTGATAAAACTATGCCTTCTCAATTATTCTTCTTCTTAAGAATATTCTTCTTAGGCCGGGCGCAGTGGCTCATGCCTGTAATCCTAGCACTTTGGGAGGCTGAGGTGGGTGGATCACGAGGTCAGGGGTTTGAGACCAGTCTGGCCAATACGGTGAAACCCCGTCTCTACTAAAGATACAAAAAATTAGCCAGGCATGGTGGCATGTGCCTGTAATCCCAGCTACTCAGGAGGCTGAAGCAGGAGAATCACTTGAACCCAGGAGGTGGAGGTTGCAGTCAGCCGAGATCATGCCATTGCACTCCAGCCTGGGTGACAGGGCGAGACTCCATCTCAAAAAAAAAAAAAAAAAAAAAGAATATTCTTCTTAAGCGGGGATGTTTAAAATATGCTTCCCCCCTTACATTCTCATGACCAGCCCTGGTATTGCTTTTGTTTATTGAGATTCAGCCCAAATAATATATTTTTTTCTAAAACTCCCCCTACTTTAATCTCCTACTCCCAGATCTCTGCGCCCCTTTTGCGTTTTGATGACATTGTAGTGTTTCTACATTTTATATCTATGACAAAAATTACCATATATTCCTATTATTATCAATTTGCTTGCTAGCCCAAGAATAAACTTCATAATTGTTAGTGTTTTTTTTTAAAAAATGACTTATTCATCTGTGTATTCTCAGCCACTAGAACTATGTTTTGGGAGACACTAGGTACATACAAATTTTTGAATAGTTACTAAATTTGTGCTCTTTTATCAATAAAGAAGTTCCACGAAATGTATTGAAGACATATAATTTGTTAGTTCAAGTTGCAATATGCACATGAATACTGTTGGGACAAATAATGTATCACCAATTATTTCATTCAAAATTTCTACAATCCTAACAGATGTTCTCTCCAGTTATATGTTAATGGATGAGATAATGCTGTGCTTTGTATAGTTGCCTCATGGGAAGCCATTGTATTGATAAAGTCAATTATGTCACAATGAATAATGGATACCAACATTATTGCCTGTAGAAAGAAAGAATTTAGGTTTTGGTTAGTTTTGAAATTTTTTAAATGCCATAATATTTATGATAGCCAATAATTTAACAAACATATGACAAGTTTTCCAACTATCATTATCACTCTCTTACTGATTTTACTGTATACAAAGTGGTAGTCTAAACTCCTGAAATTTGAAAATTCCTCGTTATAAAAACTACTGCCTGGAATCCATTGCAGTTCTCTCATATTTTCATTTTATCCTTTATATTATTTTAAGACATCAAGTCAATCAATGTCAACAGATTGAAAAAGATGCTGCTTAATTTCATGAGCAATCACAACATTTTTATCTATGCAAAATGAGATAATAAGAATAATTAAGTCTTATGCCTGAGGCTCAAAGCAATTCTCTGTGAGTGGCAGGAAGGATATTCTCCCATCCTTTATCTCCACCTGGATATATGGATGCAATACAGATTGTTCGCAGCACTTCAAGGAAGACGGGAACTCAAACCTCATTCTATTATAAAACAAGCATATGGATATCAATGGTCAATTTAAAATGTTTTTGGCATATTTTATAACTTTTTGTAAGATGTTCTCTTTTCACTTTAATACCAGAGGGATGAACAAAATTAATGCACATTTCTCTGTTAAATACTTTATGAATGCTTTAATCCCCACAACTTTATGTACTTACCACTGTCATCTCTGTTACTCAGATGAAGAAATGATGCTCTGAGAAGTGACGTAAGTCCCACTCTCCCTTTTTTAAAAAGTTGCAAGTAGGGTATATACTAACCTTCCCATGTAGAAGTTCTTTCTCAATGTTCAAATATATATTTGATCAGCTGCAAGAAGGACTGGCTCAGATAGAACTGAACGTCTCGCACAGGTATTTGGGGACATAAAATTGGGATATATCAAGCTTGTGGTTTCATTCTTTTAACACATTATTGACTTAGAAACCACATAGCAGGCACCGTGCTGAGTGAACAAGTTAGGTCAGTTCTTTATTCTCAAAAGGAAGACAGCATAGTGGACAATATATGTGTGGTCTGATGCCTGCTGGCATGGAGGGAAGCTGCTAGGAAAGCACATATAGCACACCTAACAGTGTCTGAAGGGGACGGTTACAGGGCTGGAAATGTGGGTTACTTAACAAAAGGTCAAAGGTAATCGGAAAGAGACATCTTAGAGGAAAGGCAAAATTGATGTGGCAAACTTCACAGGTCACCGATTAAGGAGCTTGAAGCAGGGGAGGGTCAAGATATGAATACGATGTGTTTGGAACCAAGGAAACTGGGGAATGAGAGGCGGGATAGGAATCGAAAGCAGGGAGAGAGTAGCAAAGGGATTATTTGGAGAGATATAAATCTAGGGTCCTGAATAAGTTTTCGATAACATGGTGGTGCAGGCTTTTCACATGTAGCCTTGTATCTTTAATAGACTGAGGTGAGGGGTACAACAAAGGGTGCCGGGGGAAATATAAGAGTAAAATTCTCTGAAACTAGTGACGTAAAGTGAAATCACCATTTTTGTTTTTATGGTACAAATCCATAATAGTAAAACGGTGGTTACACCATTTATTGAACACTTACTATTTGCCAGTTTCTTCTACCCATATTTTATGATTTAATTGCTCACAAGAAATCTCTTCTGAAAATACTGTTATCCCAGTCCAAGGATAAGGAGACTTAAAAAGTCTAGAAGATTTGGCTAAAGTCATGGAGATAGTAAGTGAAAGATCCAGCATTAAAATATTTGTCTAACATTAATTTATTCAATAACATTCTTGTGAAACCAACTGACTGAGCTTTATAAGCATATTCTTTAGTACTCCCAGCAAAATTTTGAGGGGTAATTATTTCATCTTGTAGATAAGGAAACTGAGGCTTAGACTTTTCAGAATATTTTTCTAAACTGCAAATGTAGGAAGTGATAGAATCAACATTCAGTCTGAATTAATTCAGAGAGCATTTGAGTGTACTACAGACAGTTGCCTATTGCATGTTCTCACTCACATGTAGAAGCTAAAAAATGTTGATCTCATAGAAGAAAACAGTAGAACAGAGGATACTGAGGCTGAAAAGTGTAGGGGGAAGAAAGGGATAGGGAGAGATTTGTTTAAGGATTCAAAATTGCAGCTAGATAGGAAAAATAAGTTCTAGTCTTCTATAGCACTGTAGAATGACTATAATTAACAATAATGTATTACATAGTTTCAAATAGCTACAAGAAAGATATTAAATGTTTCCAATACAAAGAAATAATAAATGTTTGCGATGATGTGTATGCTAATTACCCTGATTTCATCACTACACATTATATGTATGGCAACATCACTACACAAATGGCAAATATGCATGATTTTTAAGTGCCCATTTTAAAAAATTAAAAAAAAAATCAGAATCAAAACCAGGAACCTTGTCTTGAACAAAGTAAGACCCCAATCCATATCCGTTGAATTGCAGTTGAATACATATATCTGTTGTTTTAAAGGTATTATACTTTCCACAAATAAAATTATTTTTAGGTAAAATTTACAAAAAGGAATGATGGACAGGAACAAAGCAGACATGTTTGGTCTTTTAGATCCAACAGACCAGTTTGAGGAGAGAAATAGTGAAAAGATCAAAACGGTCCAAGAGATGAGATCGCAGAGATCCTTGAGCCCATTTTTAAAGATTTTGGATTTTATTCTTAAATGCAATGAACAAAACAGTGCCTCATTTCAAGCAGAGGAATAACATGGTATGACTCATATTTTCAGAAGACCCTCCTGGCTATGAAGGAAGAATGGACAATAAAAGACCATGTAGAAGGTTTTGAATGGAAAGCAGGCATAGGATATTACCAGGTTGGACCTGAATAGTAGCGGTGAAGACTGAAATGGCATAACAGTATTAGCAGTAGAATTTCTAGAACTCAGTGGATTTCAAATATACAGAATGCAGAGGAGTAAGGTCTCTATGATGATTCCAAACCTTCCATTGCTGTAATTTAAAAAACAACCCAATTAGCACTCAAGTCACATAGGTCAAGTGATTTTTCTTGATGAGACGATCAGTGACTAATAATATCTATTGCATTCCGTAGCCGTAGCTCAGCTGAGTACAACAGGGAAAGGCTTCTATTCCTTGCTGGCCATGACCAAAAAGCTACTGCGATCTCAGTAAAATGAACAAATTGAAAATTTATTCACTTGAGAACTCCACAGCTCCATCAGAAGAATGCTGATCTGATTTTCTGAGCTGTCAATATGTTTCATTAACTATCAAACAGTTGAGTTTTCAAGACATCTTCATTAAGGTAAGTCAAGGTGCTAATACACCAGAACGCAGATTGTAAGGATTTCTTGCAAGTCCCTAGGAGATAAGACAGTATTTCGTGGGGCGGTAATTTGGAGTAGTGCCAAGCCATACTACAGCAAAGGCTCTGTTAGCATTTCTTCTTGAAACCATATTTTCTGCATTGACTATCTGGCAGTTTTGGATTGCCTCGGGCTGATAATTGGCAACTGTGCTGTTAGACCAGATGGCATGCATTTATTTATTTTATAAAGGAAAGGGAGGAAAAAAGCATGATGCAAGTTGGAAAGTCCATTTTTAGTTATAGAACAGAAAAATAAAGGAGAAAAGAAATTGATTTTAAGCAGTTCCAGATGTTATGTGCTTTTTATTTGTAAAGCCACATCTAAAAAGAGGTGGCATTAGAAACAGAAAAAAAGAGAAGAAAATAAAAAAAAAGGAGCCACAGACTAATGTTCAGTTGGATTTACTTGTTGGAGTTTGCATTTACAGTGAATAAGCATTTTTTAAAGAAGAGAGAGAAAAAAAATCACACAATTTACATATGAATAATTACTTTCATACTGTGTATACATAAGGAGAACAGAACAGCTTCAGCTGCTAAAAGTTCCATAATGTTGTGTCTTAATCACATAGCCTCTCTGGCCTACCTTGCTTGTTCCAGGAGCCATCTGTGAGGTTCTATTGTGTTAATCCTCCTTCAGCTGTTTTCTTTTGCCCAAAGCAGGACTTTAATTAGCACCCATTAACAGAGTGCCAAGAGCATCTTCCATCAGCTTTTTATCTCACTTTAGATGGAGAAGAAATTATGATTCCTGTAATAAATTGTGCCTTGTCTTGAAACTGTATGCCAGGATTCTCCCTGCCTTAAATTCAAATGTGTTGGGTCTCAGAAGATTAGATGTGTAATGTTCTAAGGAATCAGCACAACTTACTGTAGTAAATGGGTCTGGGGCAGATGTGTTACCTTGGGATTCTTGTGGTATATGGTCCCACTTACCTGCCATCCTGATTTGTATCCTTACCATGCAGACACCTCATTTGGTTCTTGAGAGACAAATTACTAGGAAGTCTCCCAGTCTCGAAGGGTGGGGCTTCAGACATGGTATTTCCAGGAAGCTACCGTATGATGCTAATACAGATAATATGCTACACTTTGAGGGACAAGACTCAAGGTTACCATTACAGGTCTTCATTGGGGCCAAGTTCAAGTATTTACCAGCTATGTCATGCTGGACAGGTTATTTCTTCTCCCCTGGTCAAAGTCTCTGTCAGAAAACTGATACATGTTGTTGTGGAATTGTTACGGTAATCACATTGGAAACATCAGAATGAAAAACCTTTACAAATCAGGAAAAATGATTTGGTATTCTGACTCTATTCTGCCATTTACAATCTATGAGAATACCTAATACATCTAAGCTAATGTTTCCTTAGTTCTAAGTGTTATAACATTATCGGACAGTTATTAGAATTAAATTATACATTATATACAGCTATAATATGCCTAACACAGTGTTTGAAGTTTAAGTGGCACAGAATAAATAATAGGTCATTCTGCTACCTTGGTTTCCTTCTCTGGGCAAATTAAATTTCACCATGCTCATAGTTAGGAAACAGAATGCATGTAATTGTTTTATATAAATTGAGTTGAAGAATATACTTTTTTATTATTAAATGATTTCTATGTGCTGGGCACTATTCTAGGCATAGGGAGTAGAACAACCAACAAAAACAGAAGTATCTCTATGCTCATAGGAATAAAAGACAAAACAAAAAGACAAAACACATGAATATGCAAATAATAGCATAATTAAAACTAGATATCTGATCTTGCCCCTTCTCTGCCATAAACCAAATTCTGCATCATAAAAAATTCTGGAAATCATAGAGCATAGAAACAGACGCGTAATGTAAAAAAAAAACTGGAGAAAAACAAGCCGATAATAGAAAGGTTATCTTTGCTAAACTGGAAAATGGTACAATCCACAAATACTAGCACATGAATATTTTAAATTTCATCACTAATTTAAGACTACACTTATGTTTGAAATGATAAACTGGCATTGACAATCTGACAGTGATGAGAAAAACGCAGAAACTATCAAACTCACAAAATGAAATATATTATTTAATGACAGAAGAATCTATGTATATTTAGTACAAAGCTGTTTCTCTCATTAGATAGAATGTCATTAGAATTATAAAATATGGAGACCCTAAAAATTAGAGTAACTAACTATAATAGAGAAAAGAAATATATATATATATATGAACTAAGAACACAGAAGTATAATTTGTATATGTATATACACATACATTTAAAACAGGACAAACTGAGTAAAGCTACTCTGCATGTGTGAGTGCATGCTTGTGTCTGTGTGTGTGTGTGTCTGTGTGTGTGTTTAGTGTTGGGAGTTCAGTGCATAAGGATCGAGACTGAGCCATGTCCAAGGTGTCTGAGTTAATGCCAACACAGAGATAAATTGACAGAAGGGACAATCACATGTAATGATAAGGGTAAGCAGGACTTCAGGATTAAATTGCCTGGGTTTGAGTCCTGGATACGTAAATTTTCTTGAGCAAGTTACTTGAAATGCTTGGACTTCTGTTTCTTATCTGAAAACTGGGAGAAGTAGCATTTACCTTATGGTATTGCTGTGATGATTGAGTGGGTACAAGTAAAGCAGTTGAGGTAGATCCTGTCTGTTGATTACTTATTCATTCTTCCCTTCATTCACTCAGTCGTTAGTCCCTTGTGGGTATCAGGCAGTTCTGAAGTCAGGAATCAAAAAAAATGGATCAGGCCCCTACCTTCATGGGGCTTATAGATAGAAGATAAACAATTTTCCCCTGCTTTAGTAAGTGCTAATGTGGTAGAAATGATTTAGATACCTTCATCCCTCTGCTACTCATAACCAAATGCAGAATCACTCTACTCTCTTGATTATGCTGAGAACCCAGCTCTCCTAAACTCCTGCACTGAAACTCAATGCAGTCCCCTCCCCTCTTTGTTTGAAATGCCTGGGAAGAAGAATGAGCAGGATTACAGCGGATAGAAGACAATCACATGGGAAGACAACCCAGCTGAGGGTGAACACTGATGCTCTGGGTCTGCATACATTTTGGTTGGAACATTGCTATACATTGTTTATGTTCCCCCAAATTCATATGTTGAAATCCTAACCCTTAAGGGGATGGTATTTGGAGGGGGGCCTTTAAGAGGTAATTTGGATAGGAGGGTAGATTCCTCATGGATGGGATTAGTGCTTTTAAAAAAGAGATCTCGGAGAGCTCCCTCATAACTTCCACCACGTGAGGACATTGAAACAAGGCACCATCTGTAAACCAGAAAGCAGATCTTCACCGGACACCAAGGCTGGTGCCTTGATCTTGGAATCCCCAGATTCCAGACCTGTGAGAAATAAATGTTTGTTTTTAAGCTACCCAGTCTATGGTATTTTTATTATAGCAGCCAAGACAAAAATTAAGACAAACATTAAACCTCACATAAGGTATAGAATATAGGTTCAAGCAGACCTCATCTCCAGCTTCAGTGTAAAGAAGCCACAGATGATATACGGGTTAGACAGAATAACTTGGTAATTACAATGCGTGATTGTGATCTCGAGGCATCATGGAAAGGTTACAGCATGTGCAATTTATTAAAAGAATACACAGAAATGATTGATGTATTTCTGGAATACATACATTACAAATGTTTAAAATGAGAAAAAATATCTATTTTATTAAGTGATGAACTTTTCAGTAGTTAGATAATATCCACTGAAAATATTGCTTTCTCTGTTGATCCTTGATTTCTGATGTTATTGTTGTTAGCGTAGTGACAGTCTTCCAAACACGCTTGAGACAGATTTGACCACCAGTCCACATACAGAACCGGGGAAAAATGGAATACTTTCGGGGAAGAGGAAATGAGATGTGTAGCTTGCCCTCAGTACTGCCATGTAGTGTGTGGTGCTTGAACTTCCTGGTTATATTAATGATGTCTCTTTCATTAGTTTATCGTAAGATGAAACATGTAAATGTTCTGGAAAGATATCACCTAAAATGAAACGAAACAGTATCTTTGAAAAAATGTTGTATTTGTAGATTGTAAATATTCCACTCACCAATATGATATCTTCATGAAAAAATTTTGATGTAGAAATTAGACCACAAGGACCCTATATAGTGCTATATTATTTTATTTTTTCAATCTTTTGAATACCTACATTTATCTGTAGGTCTGAAAAGTTTATAATAAGAATAAAGGAAAGGGAATGTAAATGAAACAAAATACATGCCCATAAAGACACATAGTGCATCATGTTTTTAATAGTTTTTAAGCTCTTTACTTGATACAAGAGAAATTGGAGCGAACATAGTACAGCCAACCAATAAAGAAGGCAGATTTACTTAATGGAGAAATGCACTAAGCTGCATACGGAATGCTTTTCAAAATTAGGACTTAACAGGAAAAATGAAAAGAAAGCAATCTGGTTAATTAGAGAAAACTAAAGATGTAGTAAAAATAGCCAAGTTAAAACTGGCTTAAGGGCATATGGTCCTTGAAAGAAAAAACATCCAGATGATCACAAACAAAGAAAAATAAAGCATTTTATGAAGTACAGAAAATGGTAAATGTCATTTTAAGTTACTTATAAAGAATCATATTACAATCAGATTGTGGTTAAAAAAAAATAGAAAGTTAAATCTTAACCCAAAGCGTGATTGAATAAATCTCAATCCTGGATATTTTTGTCGTATTCAATTTTAATTCAGGTTGTTACATTAACATGCTATGTAATCTTGAAAACACCATCTAACCTTCTTAGACCTGTTTGCACTGTAAGAAAATGCATTTGATGCATCCTTTTAGAGACAATAATGTATTATTCTATAGCAAATCTTCAGTTATTTGGAATTCTCAGAAAATATTTTCCATATCATTGAAAATGTACTTATTTCAGTGCTAAAATTTGTCATTCAGCCATTTTTACTAGATTTGTGTTTAGCATATACATATTATAAACCTGTTTCTGCTTTCTTACCTAAACGATACTAAATGCCTTTGGCTCTTCTTAATAAATTTGTGTTTACTTGAGAAATTCATGTTATTTTATTGTGATTCTAGATGGCTAAGTCTGTGTGTAAATTTCACACTTTCTGCCTCTGCTCACATTGCTCACATTTGACCGCCAGCTTCCAATAGCTCTTCCGGTAACAGCTGATCTCTTTCTTCTCATAACCAAGCATTGGTTAAACTTGTGTAAAGACCATCTTATAGTGGTTTGGGAAGGTGGGGAATTATTTCAAGTAAAGCACACACCTTTGCCATATGGATTTACACAAAGCTAACTGGACTCTCCAGAAAGCATTTTTTTTTTTTCCTTTTCAAGAATGTTGATCACAGTGGAGGCTTTTGGGTAACTGAGCTCTAAGAGAAGATATATGTCCCTACTATGTCATAGCCTGGAAAAGTTTGCTTTTCTGATCCGGCTGACAGCACCACAATTAATCAGGCAAAGTTGTTCTTTGGATACCCTAATTCTTCACATGGAACACTTCTGTTCACTTTTTGAAAAGCCAAAAGGATTTCTTGCCACCTTAACTCTCAGATTGAGAAAAAGTAAAGTATGATTGATCTTAATGTATTTCTCCTTCCCACAATATTTGTATATTCAAACAGGAGCCTGGAGAGGGCAGAGCTTACCTCCAAAATCAAAACAAAACAAAAGAAAAAGAAATGCTGATGAAAAGTTTTACTGGACATTGAGAGGTAGGAACTTAAATTCAAAAAGAGCAAGAAGTGGATATAGAACCCAATCAAATAAATATCAGTGAGAATCATAGCCCTGTCAGACAGGAAGAATGTAAAACAGATTCAGGATAGATCAGACAATAAATGCACAAGTTGTATCCTATTAAATTGTTAAAAACTGTAACAACAATAACAACAAAAATCACTGGCTTAATAAC
Organism: Homo sapiens; assembly: GCF_000001405.40. Classification (NCBI taxonomy): domain Eukaryota; kingdom Metazoa; phylum Chordata; class Mammalia; order Primates; family Hominidae; genus Homo; species Homo sapiens. The sequence continues at coordinate 136,480,469 of NC_000008.11, forward strand.
TAGATTAGCTAAAACTTGAATCCCAGGGATGTGAGCTATTAGACATCATTTGGAGATCACGGCCTTAGAGATCTTTTCCACATTTCTCCATATAAAGAGGGTAAGAAAAAAAATCACTCCTACTACTTATAGCTCTAATTCTTACATCCCTGTGAAAATTTCTGGTTAATATGAAACCCCAATTTGCTTGGTAAATAGGTAATCTCAAGTTTGCTGAATACCGAACATTTTTGTTTTGTTTTTGTCCGGGCTCACAAATCTAACCCCAAAGTTATATCTCCACATGATATTTAATTTAGTTCCTAAACTTATGGCCCAAACTGAATTCCCTGCTTTCCCTTAAACTGGCTTCTGTTATAGTCTTCTTTATTTCATTCTGCCAGTGGCTCAGACCAAACACCTTTCACTAATGAACTGGAATTTGAAGTCAATTCCTTGGGTCTCCTTTCTAATACATCCCACTGCTCATCACCTCTACTCTTTCTAGCCTGGTCAAAATGCCCATCGCCTTTCATCTGGGATGTGCAGGATCCTCTGACGGGCCTTCTGGCTTCTGCCCTTGCGTTCCCCATCTCTCTACACACAGTCTCACCTAACAGCTGCTAGAGTCTTTCTGCCAACCTCATATCACGTCATGACACTTCATGTCGTTCCCATGCTCAATGCATTTCACTGAGTTCCCTTCTCATTGAGAATAAATGCTCAGGAAAACCCCAGCCAGCCTAGACCTCATTCTCTCTCTGACCTCATCCCCTACCTGTTGTCTCTTCATTCTCCCTGCTTGGGCCACACTCACATTGGCCTTTGGGCTACTCCTCCACCATGCCAGCTGCATTCCTTTCTCAGGGTGTCTGTGTTTGCTCATCCCTCTGCCTGGAGTGCTTCTGACCCAGATATCCATGGGCTGACTTCTTTACCTCCTCCAGGTGTTTCCTCAATTGTCACCATTTACAGGAGCTCTTTCCTGACTGTGCTAAGTAAAAGTGCCACCGTAATAACTCAGGAACTCCCTATCCAGTGTTCTTTTGTTCATGGTAATCTCCATCTGACATGCCACATGATTTAATTTGTAGTTCTTTGTTGGTCTTTCTGCTTTGCATTCCCCTTGCATTTAAGTTTCATGAGGTTGGGGATACTGGTCTTTTTTTCCCTGCTGTTTTAGATCGAGCGTCTCAGATGGTGCCTGGCATATGGCAGGCTCTGAAGGTTGTATGAATAAATTGGTGCATGAGTGAGTAGTTTAACCACAGGAAATTCTAGACTTAATTCTGAACATGATGAAGCAAATTATAACTCATAGTGTTAATATTTTTGTGTTAAGTTTGGAAATAACCTGAGCTTATTTGACATTTTAATTACTCATAACTTATAAGACTTTGGCATGTTAAAGTATAATTTGACATCCTAGAGTATATAACAGATTAATTTGATTCCAATTTAAAATGTGGATTAGAAAATTTGATTTTGCTTGTCATTCTAATTTGAATAGTTTAAGACAATTTTACTATATCTGTGAAAAGTATAACAAGATACTTGTAATTTTGATCTATTAAATTTATAAAAAGTGGTTAAGTATCTGGGAAACTTAGCTTATTAGAAAATTGGAGTACTTAAAAGTAAAAATAAACACATTAAATTTATAAATAAATTTTAAAGCAGTTAATGGACCTTAAGTTGGAAGGGTTACTTATGAGCTTTTAAATATTTTTCTGGATGTACTAATAAAAAATAAGATGATTTTTAAATTAAATGTAAAAGCACAAGAAGAACAAAATTTTGACTTTGTAACATTAAATGCATTAAATATTAATTGTTAAAACAGAAGTAAATTATCCTTTTTCTTACTGTCATAAAATGTACTTTCAAATATATAAAAAATATATACTGATGGTGAACATTCATGTGTTGGTATAATAACATTTCTTTTTTTGGTGAATGTTGTTGCTGGAAGAGAAAATTCAGTTTGCTCTTAGGTCAAAAACCAATTATGCAGAAGACTAACAGTTTGATGGCTAGCTATATGTATGCATGTTTATCTATCTGTCTATCATCTATCTATCACCTATCATCATCTATCTATCTATCTATGCTGACCAGCTGTTATAGACCGAATTGTGTTACCCCAGCATTCACATGTTACAGTTCTGAACCCCAATGTTAACTGTATTTGGGGATAGGGCCTTTAAGGGGGTAATTAAGATTAAATAAGGTCATATTAGTGGGGCCCTAAGCTGATAGGCCTTGTGTCATCATAGGAAGAGGAAGAGACATCAGAGATCCCCCTCTCTCTTCCTCCATTCCCTCTCTCTGTGAATGCACAAAGGAAAGGCCATGTGAGAACTTGTCAGAAAGCTGCCAAATGCAAGTCAGAAAGAAAGATCTCTCAGCAAACATCTTGGTCTTAGACGTCCAGCCTCTAGGGCTGTGAGAAAATAAGTTTCCATTGTTTAAGCCACTGAGTCTGTGGGATTTAGTTAAGGCAGCCCTCAGAGACTAACACACCAACCTTTACCCAACAACCTTATCTACTGTTCATTCTTAACTTAGAAAACAGATTTTTCTCAACACTGAGATATTTGGGGGCTCCATGGAAACTACTTCCTTGAAGTTCTCATCTTTCATAATCGGAACTACTTTATGAATGCCTTCTTCCTTTCTGTTTGTTGGCCACACCGAGGAGAAGAACCCAAAAAGACATTTAGCTCAGTCCTTGCTCATTGTTCTAGGGACAGGTATCCAAAGAGGGGACCTTAAAGATTTTGTTCAGTGTTATGCTGACCAGCTCACGAAGGCAATGGGGGAGAAAAACACACACACACACACGTACACACACACACACACACACGCACACACAACAGTGGCTAACATCAGTGTACTTGGTACTCTTCTAAAAGCTTTGTAGCTATTATTTCATTCAAGAATTAAGGCAGAAGTCTGGGTTGAATCAGGGACTGTGCATGATCCTTGCAGTAGGTTTCAGGGACTTCAAGTGGTGATGGAAGCAGGGAAGCTGGTGGGTTATTCAGCTGGGAAAGAATGGAACTGGTACAGGAGCCATGCCATGCCTGGCTGATTTCTTACCTTTTAAAAGATGTCTTATGATTTCAGGACATGGTGTGCTTTCAAATATGGTATTTTATGTAATAGTGACAAAACTCTACCCACCACATATGACATATGAGGTTCAGCAGAAATACATTTAAACCATGTAATACATTGGCCCTTATAAAACATGTGAGTTAGGGGCACCAAACCCCTGTGTAGTCAAGAATCCACATATAGCTTGACTTCCCAAAAACTCAGCTACTAATAGCCTACCATTGACTGGAAGACTTACTGATAGCATAAATAGTTAAGTTTTTTTTATGTTATATGTATTACATACTGTATTCTTACAATAATTAAGCTAGAGAAAAGAAAATGTTATTAAGAATATCATCAGGCTTTGGAAGGCCAAGGAGGGCGGATCTCCTGAGGTCAGGAGTTCAAGACCAGCTTGGCCAACATGGTGAAACCCCGTTTCTACTAAAAATACAAAAAATTAGCCGAGCGTGGTGGCGGGCACCTGTAATCCCAGCTACTCCAGAGGCTGAGGCAGGAGAATCACTTCAACCCAGGAGGCGAAGGTTGCAGTGAAGTAAGGTCACGCCACTGCACTCCAGCCTGGGCAACAGAGCAAGACTCCTCAAAAAAAAAAAAATCATAAGGAAGAGAAAATAGATTTACTATTTATTAAGTGGAAATGAATCATCATAAAGGTCTTCATCCTCATTGTCTTTCCACTGAATAGGCTGAGGAGGAGGGAGAGTAGGGGTTGGTCTTGCTGTCCCAGGTGTTGCAGAGTTGGAAGAGGTGGAGGAGGTGGAAGGGAAGGCAGGAGAGCCAAGCACACTTGGTGTAAATTTCATTGCAAAAAATACATGTATAACTTGACCCACGCCCTTCAAATTCAGGTTGTTTCAAGGTCAATTGTAATCTGTCCAAGGCCAACAAACTTGAAACTGATTGCCTTCACGTTCTTTCCCAGCCCCATTCCCTCAGTCATTCTGCTCCAGCCACACCAGATTTTTTGCCTTTTTTCAGAAACATTCTTTCTTTTCAGGGCTCTTGCAGTAACTGCTTTCCTTGCTTAAAATGCTTGCACCTCAGATCTGGCATGGCTCTATCTCACACATCATTTATGCCATTTTCCTCATTGCCTTCTCGGGCTTCATTTTCCTCCATGGTATTCTATATATTTATTTGATTAGTTTCCATTTTTCTCAGGAGGACAAGGGCCATTTCTATTTTGAATATTGTATTTCCAGCACCCGAAAAATTCATAATGTTAAAGGAAGTGATTGCATGATGCATTGATAAGGGGTGAAACCCCAGCCTCAGTCATGCATCTACTGACATGGGCTTGGGAGCTTTCTTCAGGGCCTGGACTCCTGCTTACTTCTCCCCTTCTTCCCAATACAACATTGTTCCTGGGCTTCCCCATACAAACAAATGAATCCTTTGAACTTTTGTTTCTTTTTTCCTTACAATGGACTTGTAAGATAAGAGCTCCTATTAATTCAATTTAGCAGCTTTTACCACCAAAGTTCAGAGATGCTAAGTGATTTGGCCAAGATCACACAAGGTTATCAGTGCAGGGCTGCTTCTCACCCGGGTCTACTGATAGTCTCCACTGATGGATGGCCTTTGTGGAATCTCTGCTGTGTTTCTGCTTCCCAGAGGATGCTAATTCAGTTTAAACAACAAAACTTGGCAAGAATGCTTTTCACTTGTGTTACTGCAGCTCCTTAACCTATGACATGATCACTGATCATGTTACCCTACTGTAACCAGCACTCCTTAATAAAATGTGACTGTGGACCAAGAAGCTGGTCAAGGCTGGGAAGAAGGAAATTCCATAGATGATGTATTATTCCATTCTCATATTGCTATAATGAACTACCTGAGCCCGGGTAATTTATAAAGAAAAGAGTTTTAATCGGCTCACGGTTCTGCAGGCTGTGTAGGAAGCATGGCTGGGGATGCCTCAGGAAACTTTCAAACATAGTGAAGGCAAAGGGAAAGCAGGCACATCCCACATGCCTGGGGCAGAAGGAAGCGATGGAAGGAGGCAGCGCTACACACTTTTAGACAACCGGATCTTGTGAGAGCTCTATCCTGAGACAGCACTAAGGGGATGGTGCTGAATCATTAGAAACTGCCCCTCTGATTCAATCATCTCCCACCAAACCCCACCTCCAACACTAAAGATTATAATTCAACATGAGATTTGGGTGGGGACACAGAACCAAACTATATCAAATGAAAAACAAGAGGCCAGGCGCGATGGTCTCATGTCTGTAATCCTACCACTTTAGAAGGTCGAGGCAGGTGGATCACCTGAGGTTGGGAGTTCGAGGCCAGCCTGACCAGCATGGTGAAACTCCATTTTTACTAAATACAAAAAATTAGCCAGGAGTGGTGGCGGGCACCTGTAATCCCAGCTACTCAGGAGGCTGAGGTGGGAGAATCGCTTGAACATGGGAGGCGGAGATTGCAGTGAACTGAGGTTGCACCACTGCACTCCAGCCTGAGCAACAAGAGTGAAATTCCATGTCAAAAAGCAAAAAAAGAAAGAAAAAGAAAAAGAAAGAAAAACAAGAGGCTCTGAAACACAATGACAGGCAGGCTGTCTACTCACTTTAACTTTTGTATAGGTCACAAAGCCATTTTAATGACATGATTTCCTTTTTTACTCAGTTCCTCCCTAAAATGCTTTGAGGAAGGTGGGTGGAAAGGACGATGTCCATGTCGCAAATGATGGAGCTGAGAATCAGAGAAGGGCAGAGATGTATATAAGGTGTATTAGTCATGTTAAAAGAAAAACCTCAGCTGAATTAAATTTAAAGGAGTTTAATTGAGCAATGAATGATTCACAAATCTGGGCAGCCCCCAGGATCACAGCAGATTCAGACTCCAGGGATGCATCATGCTCAGAACAAATTTACAGACAAAATAAAGGTAAGTGACGTACAGAAATAGGAAGTGAGGTACAGAAACAGCTGGATTGGTTACAGCTCAGCTTTTGCCTTATTTCAACAGAGTTTGAACAATTAGCAGTCTGTGAGTGGTTGAAATATGGCTTCTGGGAGTGGCCAACACTCAGTTACAGGCATATACTCTTAAGTTAGATTTTCAATCTTGTCTGCCTATTAAGCTAGGTTACAGTTCGTCTGCAATAACTCAAATATAGAGTACAGAGTCCTTCTCAGGCCTCTGAGTTTGCTTTAACACTTATCTCAGGCTGCCATAACAAAATACCACAAACTAAGTGACTCAAACAACAGGAAATTATCCTCACAGTTTCTGAGTGTTGAAAATCTAAGATCAAGGTGCCCATAGATTCAGTTTCCTAGTAAGAGCTCTCTTCCTTGCCTGTAGACAGTCATCTTCTCTGTCCCCATGTGAACGGAGCACTTGCTGTCTCTTCATCTCTTCTCAGGACACTATGTGAATGGAGCACCTGCTGTCTCTTCCTCTTCTTCTCAGGACACTAACCCAATCATGAGGGACCTGTCCTCATGACTTCAACTAAACATAGCAATCTCCCAGCAATCCCATCTCTAAATACCATCATCTTGTGGATTAGGGCTTCAATTATGAATTATTGTGGGAGGCATAATTCAGTCTGTAATATAAGGCTTCACCACCAGTGAACAGGAATCAAAGATAGGTAGGTAAATTTATCCTGAAAGACCAAAACTTGTTCCATTAGCCATCACCCTATTATCTCAAATGAAACTTGAGATTGGGAAGCTATCAGTTAAATAACTCACTCCTTGAGATGTCTGACAGAAAGAGGACCTGATGTGGACCCAATCTCACTCTTTACTCTGTTGCCTCATGCTGTTTCCCTTAACCATTAAACAGATGGATAGCAGGTGTTGGAACATGATTTTCCCCTTTGCCACCTATGATTGTCATTAAGTCTGTGCACCAGATGTGTCCAGGTTTCTGCTCCTTCTGGGCACATGATGTAATGAACTTCTCCTCCCTTAAATATTGGGTATAGCCATGTGACTTCCTTTGATTAATGAGATTTGAACAGAAGTGGAGCTTATCTCTTGCATGCAGAAATCTTAAAAGTGAGTGTGTGATTGAATCGAATTATTTCTCCTGATGCAGGGATAGTAAAGGCCTTCAGGCCCAGCCTTGTACTCACCCTCACCCCCACCATCTCATTCTAAATGTGGAGCTTGGTGAGAAATACACATGAGTCATGTAAGCCCTCTGAGATGTGGGCTGGTGCAAAACCACTGAGAGAACCACTGAGCTAGGTGAATCAGAAAGAGGCAGAGAGAACAGCTTGAGCATCCACAGAAGGGAGGGTGTTGGGGTGGCTGGAAGCTGCCTAAAATTGCCAGAACATGAAGTGGGAGGTGGGGAACTCAGGCAGTTATTGATTTTGCAGGAAAAATGTATACTACACTTCTCACATTTCCCTCAAGAGCAAAAAACTTCTACTTCTTGGGAAGAAAAACAGGATTCATCTGCCAAGTGACACTGGGACAAAGAACCATACAATTGCAGCTCAGTCCCTGGTGGGTTCTCTCTCTTTCTTCCATGAAGGGGGCAGGGCAGGCTTGCTCTGTCTGTCACGTGGCAAGCAGTCTGCCTTCATTGGCTGACACCAGTGTCAGCTCTGCCTGAGACTGGGTGGAGAGGGTTGAGGAACTGGTCAAATATTGAAGAAAAAAACTGATGTTAGAGAATAATAAAGCTGATAATAGATATCCATATCTCTCACTTGTTTTCAAAACTTGGGATACAAAGGAAAGATATTATATGTCTACACACCCAAATCTCATCAGTTAGCAAGAGGAGAGACCACCTGATGGGCCAAGCATGGAGTGAAAGATTCCAGGCTGTATTTGGAAAATCAGCAAGAGAACAGGAAAATGATTCCTACAACAATGTAGAGTTTGTGCGAAAGACACTTCTTCCAAATTATGTCAGCATCATTGAGTTACTATACCTAATAATAATAATGACTGTTATAATCATAACAATGAAAATAATAATAATATCATATTTTATTCAACAGTTTAATGCTAGTATACAAAACCTAGTCAGAGGCAGAGACTAACAGATGGTATTGGGAAGATTACCAGAATATTGCTAGATATTATGCATTATCACAGTATTACAGACTTAGAGAAAACTATAGCTGGCTTTAAAGTGTCAGTGGAACCTATGAGTAATTCCAACACTAGAGGGTGGAGACACCAAAGGGAGGCTAAAGGAAGGAGGAGCTAATAATTATGCATGATCTTTATTTTCTTAGTTTTTCCATCAACTGGTCATCAGTTTCCTTTATACTTGTGGCTGTCAGAATAGGATCAAGACAGTCACACTAGATAGATTGGTGACTTCTAAACCCAGATTTTCATTAACATTTGACGAGGTTATACTCTCTCAGTGTTCATACGTGAGTTTGGAAATACACTTTCCATAATGCTCACCTTATTATCATTATTAAAGTGTGAAAAAGATTTAATTCTTAACATGAGATCAAAGTGGGAATATGCCACGGTTGTGCTTACTGCTTTGGAAAAATAATGCTAAATTAGTGTTTTACATTAGAACTGCTCTATTCTTCTGTAGTGACCAGATTATAAAGTTCTAGAGTTGTGCTCTTTAATCTGGTTGACACATATGGACATTGACAATTTCAACTGTGGCTAGTCCAAGGGAGATGTGTTAAGTATAAAATACACACTGAGGAAAAACTCAGGCTGCACTTGCACAGATAAACAGGCAGAGTCCAGCACAGAAGCCTCTTGTTCTTTGTTTGATTAGCAGGCTTCCAGGAAAAAGTTTCCTTCCCTTTTCAAACATGTACACAATGGGCTCCATGGGAACTTGCATGCGAGGAGGGGGGGTTACCTAAAACAAATGCACAGTTATACAAACAAGAGAAGTGGCACTCCGTGCTTGCCTAGCGACATACTCACAACCACATAGATAAGGGGGAGTTGTGCAGACAGCTTTTCAGGTAAGAGAAATTACTCTAACAGCTACAGAGATGAAAGGAGTTTCTTATAAAAGCTTTTGAATTCCAGGGTAAAAATGGCACCCAGTTGGGCTCCCCTCTCCACTGTGAAGAGCTTTTTCCTTTTGCTTATTAAACTTTCTCTCAAACCTCACCCTTTGTGTCCACCCTCCTTAATTCTCTTGGTCATGAGTTGACGAGTTTGGATAACATCTTAGACAATGAGACTGGTGACCCTGACCTGTTTCCGTAACATTTAATATATGGATACTTTGAGTTAAATACAATATGCTAGTGAAAATTTACTTTTTTTTTTTTTTACTTTTTAAAAATATGGCTGTTAGAAAATTTAAAATTATTTATATGGCTATAGGAGAGAAAAATAATACCTTTTTTTCACTCATCTCAAGGTTCATGGCTGACACTCCTATAACTGAAGATGAATTAACAGGAGAAAAACATAACACATTTATTTAAGCAAAGTTTTAGGTGACACAGAAGCCTTCAGAAATGAAGACCTAATGACACATGAAAAACTTATTTTTATTCTTAGGTTTGATGAAGAATAGACAGCTGTTTATAAGCATGATTGAATAAAAGGGTGCGGTCTAACAATAATAAACCGAGGGAAGTCAGCAAGGCTTGTTGTTTTCAGGTTTTTATTGGCCTGTGTCTTTATTCCTTCCCTCTGGGTATAGGGGGGGAATGTTTCACGTGAAAGTCTTATGGTCTTATGACCAGCTTTCAGGGGAGGAAGGTCAGGTAATTCCTTCATGGCGAGCTCTCAAAAAGAAGGGTGGGAGAAGGTCAGAGAATGACATCTACTGTGCCACATTTTGAGGTAGTGTCTCTTAGCCCCAACATGGCTCACAGAAATATTTATATATTCTCTTAAATAGCACTGTTCTAAAGTGGAAATATTTTATTCTGAAAAGATTTTAAACATCATGTCTGTCTACTTAGACATTGCCAGTTTGCCAGAATACTAAAGCACTGTTTTTCAGTAAGATACCAATAGGATGAGTCCTTGGTGATGACACTCTTCCCCTGACGACCAGGATGAAGGAAAACTAGGAGCCCTGCCCATGTTTAACCAGGTCCTCACCTGTCCTTCCTTAGGAAAACTGGCACCACAAAACAATCCACCTTGGAGAACATCAGGACTCACGCCTGGGTGATGATCCTTAGTAATAACTACGTCAAAATCCACAAGAATCTGAGCTCTTATGGTCATCATTTCTCCACAGATACCTGCCTCCCTACTGCTCTGAAAATCCCTATTTTATCATCACTTCCTTTCACTATCTTTCCAAATGTTTGCACTTTACTATCTGAAAAGCTTAACCTATCGTTAGCAAAGCTCTTTGCTCTAAGGAAATCTGCTTCTTTTTGGAGGGCACTGTTTTCCCTGCAGCTTTCTCAACAATGTCTGCTTTCTCTTCCACGCCCCCTAGCACCACTGAATGAGGACTTGAAGGAAGTTAATTCCTTATTCTGCATGTTACACTCCAAGGCTAGCTCCCCCTACAAGTACCACTTCTTTCAAAAGCCACCCAGGTTTGTAGCTCTTGTCATCACATTGTACTGCTCACTCTTCTTCTTTGATGTGGCCACCACTCTATCAACCAGTTCACTCCTCTCATTCTCTGAAGATTTCAGCACAAGGTTCTCTGCCCCTCTTTTCCACATTGCTCTTACCTTAATTTTTGGCGATTCCAGTATCCACATAGGTAGTGTAGACCTGACTTTTCATGAACTTCATCTCTTCATTTGCAACAAGGGAATGTCATGGTCATACCCAAGCCCTATCATTATTTAACTTAACAATTTTCATAATCTCAATATCAAGCATCCCACTTTCTGACCATAGCCTCTATCCTTCCAACTCCCTTATGGTAATAACAAGTTGTAAAAGTGTTTGATCTCACCATGTCTCAAAATTATTTACACAATCACCTTTACTCTATCCTTCACTCCTTTTATGTCCTTACTTTCCTCTCATCCAACATGAAGTAAATGGAATATCTTGCATATTCTCCATTTCATCACTTCTTGTTTTATTCATTGTATTGACTCAAAAATGCAATTACTTTTATGCTTTAACAACCATATTTTGAGAACCCAATGTCATAATATAATGGGCTATGCATCTCCTGATATCATTATGCTACTTAATTTTAATGGCAACCTGAAGGCAGTTGGAGGTAGATATTGACATTTCCTTGAGCTCCCAAGACAACATGAAATTGCATTTGCTTCTTTACTTGCTCTTTCTTCGTCCTCTCCCCATTATGGTTTTCACCAACCTGAGATATATGAGCTCTTGAAAAGTAGTGACAAGTCCTTTTATGTTAACATTCCAGCAACTAACAGATAGCCTGGAACATATTCAGTGTTTAAGTTTTCTTGAATGTGTTGGGTTCCAAAAAAGCAGGATTAATTTCTGTAGATCTCCTAAATACACAAAATTACCCTCCATTGTTTTTCTACAAATTCCCAGAGTCATCTATCATAAAATTCTAGTACTTAAAGGGACTTCAAAAATAATCTAGCACAACCATTTTATTTCCCAAATCAGAACATGAGATACCGTAGAAGAAACAAGAGAAAGGGAAATATTTTACACATTACATCTTTTGTTATTCTAATGAATTATATGTCTGTACTGTCAGAAAAATAATATTCATACAAAAACAAGAGCTTATTTAATTTTGTTAAAACCATGCTGATCAGGTGACTTCTGAGTAGAATATCTGATTTCAAATTTTGACTATCTCTCATTCTGTATGATAATGAATTTACTCCTTTGGAATCATTTTACTCATCTGTGAAATGAGAATGATGTTATTTGTATCATCAGTACCTTACTGAGCTATGCTACACATAATAAAGGTAAATAATTGAGAACAACTGGCTTGATTCATGTGGTCAACACATAACAGATCCTGTCTCCTCTTCCATTATCTCACGCTCATTCACTTCCTCCTTTCTCCTCTGTTTCTAATTCCCACCCTTTATCAGACTTGCCAGCTTTCCCCAGGTTAACAAAAAGTCATTGTATATGATGTATTGAGATTATACAAGGAAAACAAAACCTCTAATAATCATGTCGCATTCCAGCAAGTGACTTCTAAAACAGATGCCAAGATTCAAGCTCAGAAAAATATTCAGCTGGCAAATGCAAAGAAAGAAAATGTAATATTGAGGTCAATAAATTCTGCTTTACAAATGAAAATATGCCTTTAAAACTCATTTAATATTTACAAAATTTGTTTATATAGGACTCAAATTCTGCCACACAATAATGAAGAATTCATTGATTTCCAATTTTGATTAAATAATATATATATAAAAGAATATGTGTACGATAAAGAGAAATGGCTGTTGCTATTCCCGAACTTGATCTTCAAGGAATGACAGTAACCCAGGGACTATACTAAGAATAGAAATAAATTGATGGCTCCCACTATCTTGTAGAGAACTAAAGAAGTTGTATATCTGCATGTGCCTGTTTGTACACACAAATGTGCATGTGTTTAGCGTATTCATTCTTGCTCTTTTTTCTTTTCATGGCATTGTCTAGCTACACTATACATTTTCCAATGATACATTGCTTAGCCCAAGTTTTGACACAGCTGATTTTGCAAGATTCTCATCAGTCCCTAATTAACAATATTTTTTTCTCTTTGCTTTTTCTTCCCAACATCTATTGCTCTTAAAGTTTCCATTAAGCAAAAAAGAAAATAATTTTGAAGTTGCTGCCAGGTATTTGTTCTCCAAAGCAATGTCCTCCTGGAAATTCTTATTCCTCTTCTTTCTTTTCCTTTATGGTCACACCCTTCAAGGCCACCTTGCAAATTTCTTTTTTAGGAAGCTTGTTTCATAATCTTCCAACTGCTGTGGTCTTCATTTGATCTACTGAGGTGGTTATTTCCTTATATGTTTTGATTTGGGTTGCAGAACTTAAATTCCTATGTAAATTGTCCTTGAATCATGAAGCTTTAGATACATATCTGGCATGCATACTTTTCCTTGAAGTCTTCCACTAATATTCAATTTGACTTTGTCTCCTCCTGTGTAAGAAATTTCTTACAAAGGAGGACTTTATCATCTCCTCCTGTGTAAGAAATAACAACTCAGTTATTTCTAACTTACAGGATCTTTCTCATCCTAGCTTGTAGTAAATGTTTGCCTGTCTATTTTACATGTTTACGTTTGTATGTCTAATTTGCACTAAACTTTAAGTTGTTTGAGAGGCGAACCAAGCCTTATAGACAGTAGCTTAGAGTGAAAAATGCAGCCAAACTAAAACCAGCAAACTCGATTTTGAGTTTTGATTCAGTCACTCATCATGATTCTAGATACTCACACTTTATTAGGGCCTTGTTTCCCTTTTTAGAAAATGAACGTATTTCTGTTAGTCTTGCTAAACCATGTCCCTTCACTAACACCTTCTGCTCTAGTGGAGAACAGTAATGCTCTTAAGCTGGGCAAATTTCCTTCTGACCTAGGAGATTTGTACATAATGAATCCTTATTTCAGGAACACCATTTCCAGAACATTCTGTCCAGAATATTTCAAGAACATTATCACCTGTTGGCCTAGTTATCAGTCTTATTCACCATTAAAAATCTCAGTTCATGAAAAGCCTTTCCTAACTTCCTTCACTGGGTTAACAGGCCGTTTTATATAGGAATTTTAGCAGGTGTAATTCTATTTTACGGAACTTTTCCAGTTTATGTGAACGTTTGATTTACTTTTTCTTTTAAAAAATTACTGCATGTGTGTTCAACATCATATCCTCAGAACCTAGCCCAATTCCAGGCACATAGTATTGACTCAATAAGTATTTATTAAGTGATTAGTTAAGAGTGAAATAGGACAGTTCATAAAACAACATATTATAAACTGGGAAAGTCCCTAAAATGTAAAATTTGTTATGATTCATTTTTGAATCATTTGCATTAAAAAGAATATTTATCCAAGAATTCATACAAAATAAAATGCATATTTTCTATCCCTAAATTTTCTAATCTATAGGCTGTCTGGTAGCTAGAAGTTGGTCTTTTAGTTCATCCAAGTAACAGTTTGAGAATAGTCACTATGTTAGAAACAATATTAGATTCTAGGGTCACAAGGATTCTTACAGAAACAAGTCTCCCTTCAAGATTTTCACAGTCTGGTGAGGATAGTGTATTAGTTTGTTCTCACACTGCTAATGAAGACATACCCAGGACTGGGTAATTTGTAAACGAAAGAGATTTAATTGACTCACAGTTCCACATGACTGGGGAGGCCTCACAATCACTGTGGAAAGGGGAAGCAAGATACCGCTTACACGGCAGCAGGCAAGAAAGAGCTTGTGCAAGGGAACTCCCATTTATAAAATCATCAAATCTCATGAGACTTATTCACTACCACAAGAACAGTATAGGGTAAACTGCCCCATGATTTATTTATCTCTACCTGTCCCCACCCTTGATATATGGGGATTATCATAATTCAAGGTGAGATTTTCCTGTGGACACAGCCAAACCATATCAGGTAGCAAATATATAAAGAAGTTAGGGTTATCATAGGGGCTTAGGTGAAGTTAAGATATGTAAGCAAATCTGGACTTGAAGAAAAAGGATTGTGTCTGTCTGTGTTAGATATAACTTTAGAGAAAATATGGCTTGAAATCTACTTTATAATAAAAATAATTTTGGCTTACCCAACGTATAATATATTTGGTGAAGAATAGCAGAAAGAGAGGTTGAAGATATAGTCGTGGAGGTGAAGAAGGGCCATATCCTGAGAGATAATATGCTATTAATATGTTGTGGCTGGGGGCGGTGGCTCACGCCTGTAATCCCAGCACTTTGAGAGGCCGAGGCAGGCAGATCACCTGAGGTCGGGAGTTCAAGACCAGCCTGACCAACATGGAGAAACCCCGTCTCTACTAAAAATACAAAGTTAGTCAGGCATGGTGGCGCATGCCTGTAATTCTAGCTACTCAGGAGGCTGAGGCAGGAGAATCGCTTGAACCCGGGAGTCAGAGGTTGCAGTGAGCCGAGATCGTGCCATTGCACTCCAGCCTGGGCAACAGGAGTGAAACACCATCTCAAAAAAAAAAAAAAAAAATGTTAAGCACCATGAAGAGTTATTGGAGGAGACTGCAGTGGGCTCTCTTTATCTTCAGGTTCTGCATCCACAGATTTAACCAATCACAGATCAAAACTATCTGGAGCAAACAGATATATGAAAAGGTGCTCGACATCATTGATCATCAGAGAAATGCAATTAAAATCTACAATGAAATACCATCTCACCTCAGTTAAAATGGCTTTTATCCAAAATATCGGCAATAATGAGTGATGATGAGGATGTGGAGAAAGGCAAAACCTCACTTACTGCTAGCGAGAATGTAAATTAGTACAGCCACTATGGAGAACAGTTTGGAGGTTCCTCAAAATGCTAAAAATAGAGCTACCATATGATCCTGTAATCCCACTGATAGGCATATACCCAAAAGAAAGGAAATCAGTATACTGAAAAGATATCTGCACTTCCATGTTTATCAGTTTATTGCAGTACCATTCATAATAGCCACAATTTGGAAGCAACTTAAGTGTCCATCAACAGACAAATGGATAAAGAAAATGTGGTACATATACACAATGGAGAACTACTCAGCCATTAAAAAAAGAACGAGATCCTGTCATTTGCAACAACATGGATGAAAATGGAGGACATGTTAAGTGAGATAAGCCAGGCACAGAAAGATAAACTTCATTTGGTCTTACTCAGTTGTGGGAGCTAAAAATTGGAACAATTGTACTCACGGAGGTGGAGAGTAGATTGATGATGGTTACCAGCGACTGGGAAGAATAGTAGGGTTGGTGGGGTGAGAAATGAAGATGATTAATAGGCATCAAAATATGATCAGATAGAATGAAAAATATCTAGTATTTGATAGCACAATAGGGTTACTACAGTCATCAACAATTTGTTGTACATTTTAGAATAAATGAGGGGGTACAATTGGAATGTTTATAACATAAAGAAATGATAAATGCCTGAGGTGATGGATACTATATTTACCTTGGTGTGATTATTACACAGTGTGTGCTCATATTAAAATATCTCATGCACCCAATAAATATATACACATACTATGTACCCAAAGAAATTAAAATAAAATATTAAATGGAAAAAACAAAAAAGAAATAAAATTAAATTTTTAAAATATGAAAAAATAAAAAACAATACAACAATAAAAGTAACACAAAATTTTAAAAATCATATGGTATAACAATTATGTACATAGAATTAACATTTTACTAGGTATTACAAGTGATCTAGAGATGATTTAAACTATGTGGGAGGATGTGCATAGTTATTTGCAAATGCTAAGTGATTTTATATTTGGGACCTGAGCATTGTGGGTTTTTGTATCTGTAGGGAGTCCTGAAACTAATGTTTCTCAAATATTAAAGGATGACTGTGCATATAATAAGAATGCTTTTGGCTGCGAGTAACTGAAAGTTTAACTATGAATGGCTTTAATGAAAGAGAGATACATATTGTTTATTATACTAGGGAGTCCAAAGTTATTAAAGGCTAAAGAAACAATATATTCAGATCTCTGCCTCTCTTCTTTGTGATTACCTTAGACCTGTGTCCTCCTTAGCATGTTCATTTACTAAGGATGTCGTCTTTTATAATCCCAATGTGGCTACCAGCAGCACTTAAAGCAAAATTCTTCCTGCTTATGTCAAAAAAAAAAAACAACACACATACACACAAAATATCTGGTTATCTGATCGATATACCTTTACTTTTATTGTTCCATCCTTAATCATACTTACGTTTACTCCTGAGTCCATACTCAGCACTAAAGGATAAGAATAGATGTATTTGTGTAGATCTTATTTCCTAAATGCAAATGTAATTACCTTCTTGTGGGCATTGTTGATGAGATTAAGCCAGTGTCCCTGGTCACATTGTAGGCCATAGCAATGGATTTGTGCTATTTAGAATGATCTGAAATTGGGGAAAAGGTCTGCCTTCCCTGAGACATGTGGGACACAGAGGGTAAACACAGATATTTTAAAAATCATGATACTCTTAGGAAGATGATGAGAGATGGAAGTGGTAGGTAAGCAGACATCTTACTCAGCAAATTAGTGGCAAAGCTACCTCGACTACTCACAGCTTCTAACTGCTTGGTGGAAAGTTGAATAAAAAATCTGATTGTGCTAACGACTCAAACAACAAAAGAAGTCCTGTTTAAACCTAGTGAAGAACAATTTTCTACCTCCTAACAAAATCCTGGATGCCTAATTCTCATTTGAGTATCAAAGAATGAAGAAATAAAAGTGTTGTTGGGTTGTAAATAAAACATTGTATTTTAAAGATGTTGAGGCCGGGCATGGTGGCTCAGGCCTGTAATCCCAGCACTTTGGGAGTTCGAGGAGAGCAGATCACCTGAGGTTAGGGATTCAATACCAGCCTGGCCAACAGGTGAAACCCTAAAAATTTAGCTGGGTGTGGTTGTGCACACCTGTGAGCCCAGCTACTGGAGAGGCTGAGGCAGGAGAATCACTTGAACCCAGGAAGTGCAGGTTGCGGTCAGCCAACATTGTGCCACTGCACTCCAGCCTAGGTGACAGAGCAAGACTCCATCTCAAAAAATAAAAAAAATAAAGATGTTGAGTTGCAAATTATAAGCAGCTGAGAAGGTAGAACTAGAGGGCTTGTGCTGACATATAGATGTAGGTCTTACCTCCAAAATATAGGCTATCATTAAGAGGTTCTTCAGTGGAGGCAACATATTATTAAATATTTAGAAGATAATATTAATAGAATGTAGATAGCAATTAAATGTTGAAATTTAGATTGTGGGATAATCTAATAAAAAATAAAAATATAGTAAAATATAAGTAATGAAAACAGAAAGAAGGGAAAATACAAAACACTTTTGGCACACATATGATATCTAGATATAGATAAGATTATGAAAAAGAATATTAAACAATAGAATTTGAAGAAGACAAAGGTGAGGATGAAGAAAGAGAAGGTGAAAAAGAATGTGAAGGTGAAGGTGAAGACAAACAAGAAGAAAGAGAAAGGAATTATCTCAGCAGAAAATACAAGTTTCTCCTAGAAAAGAAAATCTCAGAACAGGACAAATTTTTAACATCTTGTTCCATAATAAAATCAGGAGACTAAGACGTATATAGCACTTTCGGTGGCATGAGGCCAGTTTGAATTCATTTTCTCAAGCTTGCTAGAAAATTTGCCTTGTTCACTGACTTTTTTTTCCATTTGCTAATGTTAATTTGTCCATTAGCAACTGCGTTTTCTTTTTAGTACATACAGCAAAAAGGAGCAAAGAAAGCGAGTGAAAATAATCTTTTTGACACTACCATTATATTGCCTGAAGTTCCAGGGAGTCAAGGAGATGTGAGCGATCTTCAGCACGGTTCTATAGAAGAATTCAATAATACAGAGGAATGGAATCACAGGGTCATACGCTCAGTGTACACTTAACTTTATAATAAATTGCCATTAGTTTGGTGCAAAAGTAATTGCAGTTTTCAACATTGCTTTTAATGGTGAAAACTGCAATTACTTTTACACCAGCCTAATAGTTTCTCAGGGTGGCTGTATTATTTACGTTAACAAAAAGCAATGTGTGAACATTGCAATTCTTCTGCATCTTCATCAGCACTTGTATTGTTGGCCTTAACATTTTAGCCATTCTGGTAGATATACTGTGGTTTTTCATGGTAGTTTCAAATTGCATTTCCCTGATCACCAATGATGCTATTTTTAAATATGATTATTGAACATTAGTATAGGTTTTGCTGCAGTGTATGTTTCTGTCTACTTCTTAATTGGATTATTTGTCTTCTAATAATTGATTTGAAAGTGTTCTTTATTGATGGTTATGAATTTTTTGTTAGATATATGGATTGTATATGATTTTCTGTATTCTGCAGATTGCCTTCTAACCATGACTTTAGAAGGCCTAAATTTTTAAATTTTAAGGAAATACAATTCACAAATTTTTATATGTGTTATGCTTTTACTTTTTCATTTACAGAATTATTTCTCTCCACAATATTGCAAATATTTTCTCCTATATTTGCATCTGGAAGTTTTCTAATTATATCTTTTATCTTAGGTCTATAATCCATTTCAAGGTGTTTTCTTTTTGCCTGCAATTCCAGCACTTTGGGAGGCCAAAGCGGGAGGCTCACTTAAGCCTAGGACTTTGAGATAAGCCTGTACAACGCATTGAGAGCCTGTCTCTAAAAAAAAAAAAAAAATCAAAAAATTAGCCAGCTGTGATGACATGTGTCTATGGTCCCACACTGCTTGTGAGGCTGAGGTAGGAAGATTGCTTGAACCCAGGAGGTCGAGGGTGCAGTGAGCTGTGATCCACTGCACTCCAGCCTGGGTGACAGAGCTAGACACTATCTTAATTTTTTTTGTTATTCTGTATGTTGTGAAGTTAAAAGCTTCAAATTTTCTTTCTCTGTGCAAATATTTAGTTTCTAAACATTTATTTTAAAAACCTCTTATTTCTGCTATTACCATAGCAATTTTGTCAAAATCAATTGACCATAAATGTGTCTATTTCTGAAATTTCTATTCTGTTCTCTTGATCAATGTGCCTATCTTAACACCAACACAGCATTATTATTATAATTTAGCTATATATAGTAAGTCTTGAAACCAGAGAGAGTCTTCTAACTTTATTCTTCTTTTTCAAAATTTTATATTAGTCTATGTTCTTTGCATTTCTACATACATTTTAAAATCAGCTTGTCCAATTTCACAGAACACTTTGAAAAACTCGACTAGTTTTGATTGAAGCTATATAAAAGAGTGAGGAGAATTGACATTTTAATAATTTTGAGTCTTCTAGTTCAAAGCATGATCTATTTTCCATGTGCTTGGGTTTTATGTACCTTCAGCAATGTTTTATAGTTTTGAGTTTCATGTCTTATGTATATTTTGTTAAATTTATCCCAAGTTTTTAAGAATAGAAATTCTATTGTAAAGGGTTGTATTTTCCTTTTAATTCAGTTTTGCATTTATTATTGCTAGTGCATAGGAATGCAATATTTTTAGCTTCACTTTGTATTCTGCAATCTTGCCACATTTACTTATTAGTGCTCACAACATTTTGTGTATATGCCTCAGGAGTTACTACGTACATCAACATTTTTCCCACCAAGAAAACAAAACTCTTTTGCTATCTATCTGTCTGTCTATCTATCTATCTATCTATCTATCTATCCATCTGTCTATATTGTGATAAGAAAACTTAACATAGATCTACTATCTTAAAATTAGTAATATATAATACATTGTTGTTCACCATATGCATAATATTATACAGGAGAACTCTAGAACTAAATTGTCTTGTATAATTTAATCTTTACACCCATTGAATGACTATTTGACTCTTCTGAGTTTGCATTTTGTGTTTTTTCTTGCTTCATTGCATTTTCCAGGACTATCAGTATAATATTAAATAAAAATAGTAAAAGATGACTTTTTATATCTAGCTTATAAGGTTATTAGGGAGAAGAAGTTTAATATCTTTCATCATAGATTATGTTATCTGAAGGTTTTTTATAAATATCCCTTATCAGGTTTAGGAAGTTTCATTTTATTTCTAGTTTACTGAGGGCTTTTCTAATGGATGGATGTTAAATTTTGCCAATACTTTTTCTGCATCTTTTGAAAATACTATCTTATTTTGCTCGTTTGTTCTGTTAAAAGAGCAAGTCACATTGATTGATTTTCAAGTCAAATAAACCTTACATTCCTATGAAAAACTCTTGCTATAGTTTGAATGTTCATCCCCTCCAAATCCCACGTTGAAATTTTATCCCTAGTGTTGAAGGTGAAGCCTAATGGGAAATGTTTTGTTCATGGGGGCAGATTTTTCATAAATAGATTACATTCTCCCCTTGATGGTGGTATGTGAGTGAGTTGTCACTCTATTAGTTCTCAAGATAGCTTGTTGTTAAAAATCACCCGGCACCTCCTCTGCTCCCCCTGCTTCCTCTTTTGCTGCATGAGGTCTGCACACCCTGGGTCCCCTTTGCCTTCCACCATGGGTGGACGCAGCCTGAAGCCTTAACTAGGTACTCAATCTTTCAGGTAGTGGAACTCTGAGCCAAATAAACCATTAAAAAATAAATTACACAGCCTCAGGTATTTCTTTATAGTAACATAAAACGGACTAAGACACTCTATTGACCATTCAGAAGAAGTTAAATTTGTTATACATTGCTTTGTTTTATAAATTTGTTATGCATTTGTTATCACATTGCTCAATGTGATAACGTTTGGGTAAGAATTTTTAGATATATGGTTATGACACATATTTGTTGATTTTTTTCTTGTAGTTAAAAAAATTTTTTTCATACTACACAGAGGTATCTTGTAGTTTGTTTTTTGATTTTGTTAAGAGCATAATAATGGGCTCATTAGATGATTTGGGATATGTCTTTCTCCATCTGCTGCATCTCTACTTTCTGAAAATGATGCATAAGGATGTATTATCTCTTTCCTAAATGTTTCATAGAATTATCCAGTGAAGCATTCCATATCCAAAATTTGAATTTATGAAAATGTTTTTAGTTACGAATTAATGTTAGTAATCATAGAATTGTACATATTTTTCTATTTCTTCTTGAGTCTGTTTGGTAATTTATGTTTTACTATCCTTTTTATGCCTGTAGTCCCTTTAGTGATTTCCGATTGACACATCCTAGGATACTCGGAATATATTAATTGGGTAGACTCAGATGACATACATACATGAATGGCAAGTTAGAAACATAAGCATTTTGGGACAAATAGAAATACATATGTGGTTTCTGAGCCAGAGGTTGGAAAATGATTAAAGTAGGTTAAACTCTAAAGGTTGGACAGATGAGAGAAAATATATTCTGAGACTGGTCCACATATTTTTAGGGAACTTCATCATACTCACAGTCATAGGGGAGTGTATCAGTTATCTATTGCCACGATAATGCTAAGTAACAAGCATCCAGGGAATCTCAGAAGTTCAAAAAACATTTTCTATGGATCTGCATGTTGGCTGGAGTTCACTGATTCAGGTTGTGCTCTGATGAGCTAAATGGAAAAAACTTGGTCTGGTCAGCCTTTCTCATTTGCTTCCTTGTACCAGGAAGCATGGATGTGTTCTTACAGTTATTGTAGAAATACTAGTGGCCTTACTCAGGTACATGTCTATTTATATACCACTGGCAAAGTAAGTCGCATGCTCAAACTCATCATCAATGGATAGAAAAACATGCTACGCTCCTTTTGTGGGAGAAGATGAAAAACCAGTATTAAAAGCTATATAAAGGAAGAATTAGGGACAGTAATGCCGTGCACCACACAGAGTATGGTGTCACAGGAGGGAGGAGCCACGATTTAGCTCTCACAAGTTCTTTGCTTCCAACATTGCATGAATGGGCTTGACTACATCCCTATGTTCTCAATAGATGTAAGAAAGAAGCTTTATCTATCAAGGAAATTTGCTAGAAAAATGGGGTTGTGGGTCGCTGTAGAGAGGGGTTGCTGTGGAGAGGTAGCTTGCAGGAATAAATTGAACCAAGGACAAAAAAATGAAAGACATCCTGATTTCCCCAAATGCTTAAGGGTAGTTACTCATCTTGCAACATCTACAGTACCAAAAAGAGCTAAGGTGGTCTATAAATAGTATTCCAGAGATTTATACCACATTGCCATCTTGTTGGATATTATTTTCCCACTTCCTGAGAATGTGATACTTACTGTATTGTGGGAGGGAAAACTATCTTACTAATAATGTAACATAAATTAAGAGGTATTAAATGACAGGGTTGGAATTTGAACCCAGATTTTCTTGATACCATTGGTATTTTTATATGTTTGCATCATGATATTTTTGGTATTCATCTGTAAAGTGGAATATTTTGCTACATATACTATTTCCTGTGATTACATTTTACTCTGAATCTAATGAAAAGCCTGGCATATCTTTGGGAAGTCTTACTTGACCCATCCAAATAATACAGACAAGAAATCACTTCTTTGTGGCATAAAAGGACATATGCTCCTCTTTTTGCATAAATAGCTTGGGCATGTCATTATTTATACAATTAATACTTTTAATAGAGTTCAATTTGTTTGCAAACAGTGATGTCTGCATATTTATTTTTATATGATGAAGACATAAAATGGTGACTTGAATATGGTAGAAAATAAAGGATAACTATATAGGTAAGTAAGTAGATAGATAAGTAGGTAGGTAGGTAGAGAGATAGATAAAGTGATTAAATGATTTATAATAGTCTTTCCATTTATATTTATAATATTTATTCCATTAGAAAATGAATGTTAGTGACTCTTCCTTTGGATTCAACTAGAATTGTTGCAAGTAGACAAGTTGTCCTCAGAAGTCATTGCATCTGACCTAAAATTAAAAAAAAAGTACTAAAAATTCTTAGATGGCAGTGTTCACAAGATTGGAATCCAATTTCATAGTCTTAGGAGGCTAAAATAACCTATGGATGAAATTCTAGAGGCAAACTAGAAGGAATATAGTTTCAGAAGCAGGCTCAACCAAAATAAAAAGGATATATACACACACACACAGACACACACACCTGTGGAATGTTTTCTAACCAACAAATCTCTGATATAATTGACAGAATAACACTGTGAGACAGGCATCATTCAAAGAAATGGTGTATAGTTGAAAAAAATACATTGTCTTCTCATAGAACTCTAGTAATCCCAGTGACTGAGGTCATGGTTGCTACAAAGTAAAGATAGATTATTTTCCTGCAGTCCAGTGGAACAACCAAGAACTACTGCTCTGGGAGATGGTTGCTGCAGAAATGCAATCTGGAGAACCAGGCATTAGGTGACAGTAATCTTCCTCAAGGGAACGAACAAAATTATCCTTTTCCCTCTGTGAGTGGCTCAACATTTGGTTAATGATGCAGGAGTGCTAGTTAAGTGAGAGGGTGCTGAGTAAAGGGAGAGAATTCAACAGCTGCTTTTCCCTGTGATGAAGAATGGGTTTGTTTTTTGTTTGTTTCATATTACTTCCCAATATGTGCTCATACATATTTTTATAGATTTTGTTATTATCTGTAAACCCCATGGGAGCCCCATACCTTTTGCCTGAACTTGGCATTACTCATAGCTGTCTCCTTGTTTAAGTTCATGGAAATAGAAACTTAAATATGACAAAGCCAAATGCACTCTTAAGGGACCTGTGGTGCCAGCCTCATCAAATCACACTATTCCATTTTGTAGAGAAGAAAAATGAGGACTACAAAGTATAGTGAATAGTCTCAGGTTGCACAGCAGGTGAACAAAAAGAAAGGATAAGAACTAATTTTACTGTCTTTAGATATTTCTGCTACCACACCCTGAACTCCTACCTTTACCCCACCTCAAATCCCACACACCTCTGCCATTGTCGAGGAGAGCTGTACTGCCATTAATGTGATAGTTCACATTGAGCAGAGCAGGTGGCCCGTAACAAGCTCTCAATAAATGTGAAATAATGTTTTCAAAGCTATACGTGTTATTTATTAACATGCGAGCCATTTTCATTCCTTTTGAAGGTTTTTAATTTTTAGTTTCTTTGGTAGTGATATGCTGACCAGTCTTTGATAACTTACTCTCTGTATAAGTTTCCTAAGGATGCCACAACAAACTAGTGCAGACATGATGTGTTAAACAATAGATGGTTATTTTCTCACAATTCTGATGGTGAGAAGTCTAAGGACCAAGGTGCCATCAAGGTTGGTTTCTTTGAGGGCTTTCTCCTTAGACGGTAGAGGGCTGTCTTCTCACTTCATCTTCACATGGTCTCTCACCTGTATGTCTGTGTCCCTCCCCTTCTTAAACAAACATCAGTTACATTGAATTAGGGCCCACCGTAGTGACTTCATTTTAAATTAATTACCTTTTGAAAGAGACTGCTTTCAAATACAGTAATATTCTGAGGTACTGGGGGTTAAGACTTCAATATATGAACTTTATGGAGACATAAGTCAGCCTGTATCACCCCTAAAAAAACAGAAAAGAAAGAAAAGAAAAAGAAAGCTAAGATTCATGGCGCTCATTGATTTCTATGGTGGCAAATACTACTTAAAGACAATTTCAAGTCACCAATGTGACATATCTAAACACAGCATCGGCAAAGAGATGTGCACA
This sequence comes from Homo sapiens, assembly GCF_000001405.40. Classification (NCBI taxonomy): domain Eukaryota; kingdom Metazoa; phylum Chordata; class Mammalia; order Primates; family Hominidae; genus Homo; species Homo sapiens. The sequence continues at coordinate 136,505,736 of NC_000008.11, forward strand.
CTTGGCTTTTCTGAGCCAGTGAAAGCTCATTCCAGCACCACTGCTATTCAATCATTTTGCCCTCTGACTGATATTCCACTGTTATAAAAGCATACCTTTTTACCTGAATCCCATTTTCAAGTTCTGTATGAGCTTAGAAAGGCATCACTCAAGGGGGTCCCTGTGAAGGTTAGGAGTTCTGGAAACTGTCCTGAATTGAAAAGTGAAGCTAATTTAGGGGGCCTCAGGCAATAGTTCCATAATCATAATGAATATTGTGGTTATTTCGAGGAATTTATGTTAAGCCAAGAAGACAGAGTAAGGTGGGAGACAGTATCTGGTCTGAATGGCCAGGTTATGTGTCAAATGTGAATCTCTCCCTCATTTAAGGAACATTCTCTCTTTTTCTGTTAGCTTTTGTTTGCTTGTTTATTTATTTATTTGGTAGCTTCTATGCCACCATTTTCTGCTGCTTACTGTTTTTCCTCTTAAAATTCTGATTGGAACTTCATATAACTTTAAATGTTTCAATATAAACGCCTAATGCTTATGCAGGACCACAGTTCTTATATGCTGTGCTCTCCCCTTAGAATTTCATCCAAATCGTCACGTAGAATGTCATTCATACTCCAATAGCTTTATCTGTAGTCCTAAGCTCTTTTCTATACTTAAAACAATATCTATATTTAGATGTCTCATTGTTATTTCCAGCTACATACCTGATATGGTTTGGCTGTGTCCCCACCAAAATATCAACTTGAATTGTATCTCCCAGAATTCCCACGTGTTTTGGGAGGGACTCAGCTGGAGGTAATTCAATCATGGGGACCAGTGTTTCCCTTGTTATTCTCATGGTAGTGAATAAGTCTCATGAGATTTAATGGGTTTATCAGGGGTTTCCGCTTTTGCTTCTTCCTCATTTTCTCTTGCTGTCACCATGTAAGAAGTGCCTTTTGCCTTCGGCCATGATTCTGAGGCCTCCTCAGCCATGTGAAACTGTAAGTCCAATTAAACCTCTTTTTCTTCCCAGTCTCAGGTGTGTCTTTATCAGCAGCATGAAAACAGACTAACACAATAATGTTAAAATTATGCACATGATTTATATGTAACTCCTCTGCAAGTACAATTTGTCTCAGAAAATGATTTCATAATATCGCTAATTACCCACTGAAGGTAGAACAATTTAAACTACCTGATTGGAAGAAAGAGAGAGAACAATAGTTTGAGAAAAAAAAACAAGCAGAACCTGAGTCATGCGTGATAATACCAAAAGTCTAAACTTTGTCCAGAAGAAGATAATATTGTCTGATGGGGTTTTCAATGCATGCAGGTGAAATACATGTGACAACCATAACGTAAGAAGAGAGGGTAAAGTCACCTATATGGTGATAAGTATTCTATCTGGAATAGTGAAGTATTGATTATAAGTAAACTGTGAAAAATTAAATATATAATGTAAACACTAAAAAACTCAATGAAAATTTTACTCAAAGATATAGTAGAAAATTAATAGATGGATTAAAATATAATACTAATAATTATTGAAAGCATTTAAAAGAAGGCAGAAAAGGAGAAACTGAGGAATTAAAATCAGAGGGAATCAACAGAAGCCAAATAGTGAAATGACAGGCATGAATGCAAACATGTAATTTACATTAAATGTAAGCAAAAACTATTAAAATTTAAACATTTTCCGGAAAAAACTTAAAACAAAAACAAACAAACAAAAGACATAAGACTAGAGGATATGCTGTCTAAAAGAAACCCACTTCATATATTATTGTATGTGCTAGTTAAAAGTAAAAGTTCAAAAACAATATACTATGCAAACACTAATCAAAAGAAACCTGGAAAGTTTAAATTAAGTCTATATTAAGTCTACATCAAGTCTACATCAGACAATGTAGACTTCAGAGAAAGAAAAAATTACTAGACATAAAGATAAATGTTATATAATGTTTAAACAGTAAATTCACTGAGAACATACAACAATTCTAAATGTAAAGGCACCTAAAAATAAAAATATATAAAAATCAACTGATTTTACTGAAAGAAAAAAATAGAATTTCTAGTTAGAGGTTTCAGCATATTTATCTCAATAATTAATAAAATAATTCACATAGTTGTAAAATCAGCAAGCATATAGAAAATGGAACAAAACCATCAACAAATTGGATTTAGGGAACATTTATAAGTCATCCCACTAAACGATAGCAAAATACATATTCTTATAAAATGCACATGAAATATTTACAAAGACCGTATTCAAAGTCATAAAACAAAACTAATTAAAACAATAAATGTATCTATTCTCATCATAGCAAACTGTAATACAAATCAATAACAGAAAGTTAATTATAAAACCTCTAAAATATGGTTTGGCTCAGTGCCCCCACCCAAATGTCATGTTGGAATCCCCAATTGTAATCCCCAGTGTTGAGAGAGGGACTTGGTAGAGGTGACTGGATCATGGGGATAGATTTCTCCCCTTGCTGTTCTCATGATAGTGAGTGAATTCTCACAAGATTTGGTTGTTTGAAAGTGTGTAGCACTTTCCCCTTAGCTCCTTCTCTCTCTCTCCTGCTGCCATGTGAAGATATGCTTGCTTCCTTTTTGCCCTTCTGCCAATATTGTAAGTTTCCCAAGGCCTCCTCAGCCATGCCTCCTGTACAGCCTGTGGAACTGTGAATCAATTAGACCTCTTTTGTCTATAAATTACCCCATCTCATATAGTTCTTTATGGTGGTGTGAGGATGGACTAATACACTCTAGAAACATGGGAATTAAATAATGCATTCTAAGTAATTTACAATTAAAAAATAAAATATTAATAAATTAACTTCATTAAAATAAAAAATATTTGCCTTGTGAAAAACACAGTTAAAAGAATGAAAACACAAGATACAGACTGAGAGAGAATATTTGCAAACCAAATACTCAACAATTGATTCATGTCCAGAATTTGTTTAAAAAAACGCGCAAAACTCAACAATAAACAAACCACTCAATGAAAATAAAAATTAGCGAAATATGTAAACAAACATATCACCTAGGAAGATACAGAAATGACAAATATGCACAGGAAAATATGCTTATCTTCAGTAGACATTAGGGAAACGCAATGAAAAAATGAATAAAATACCACTGCATACCTATAAGAATCACAAACAACAACTAAAGTTTTAAAATCACAGTATCAATTGCTGGCAAAGATGTGAAGCAGCTAGAGCTCTTATTCAAACACTTCAATTAAAATTCTGACATTTACGGGAAAAAAACTAAAATGCAAAGAAAAAGTACAAGATCAGAGGATATGCTGTCTGAAAGAAACCCACTTTGTATATTCTTGTGTGTGCAGGTATGTCACTGGTAGGAATGTAAAATGGTAGAGTCACTTTGGAAAGTAGTTTGACAGTTTCTTATAAATGTCAGCAAAGAGTTTTTGTATTACCAGCAATTTCACTTCTAGGTATTTACCTAAAATAAATAAAAGCTTATGTTTACACAAAATCTTCTACAAAATGTTACAGCAGCTATATTCTTAACTGCCAAAACTGTAAACAACCCAAACATCTTTTAATGAGTGAATGAGTAAATAAATTATGGTAGGCTTATGCAATTGAATACTAAATAATGATAAAAAGGAACAAGCTATTGATATATAGATGAATCTCAAAGACATATTGCAAAGGGAAATAAATCAGACTCAGTGACTACATACGTATGTTACATACTGTTATTACATTTAAATGACAGTGTTTTTTGGGGGTTGGGGTTCAAAGGGGTATGGTGTGAGGATTTGCAGTAATAGATGCAGCATGATGTAATTTCTTGGGGTGATTGAACTGTTCTGTATCCTCATTAGAGTTGTGTTTACACAAATTTATAAATATTTTATAATTCATACAACTGTACCACAAAATGTCAATTATACCATGTGTAAATTTGGTGAGTAATGACAAATCTAATTTAAATAGGTGTAAAAGAAAGCAGAAAATGGAGAGTTGGGGAGTTGAGTTGTACAGGTGGAGGAGAGAGTAGATTCATATACTTCCTGGGGGTATGCATAAGACATACCCATAGAGATCTATAGCAATATATTAAGTAAATGAATCTGCAGCTTCTGGGATGATTCTGATCTATCTAAACAGATCTGTGAGTAATGGAATAAAAGTGGTCAGAGTATGAATGGTGTCTCCCTGGAAGAGTGTGTAGAGTTAGAAGAAAATGTGTTCCAACAGAAATACCAATATTTAAGAATTGTGCAGGGGTTGTGTATATCAGAAACTTATAATCAAGCAAGCAAGATAATAAGGCAGAACGCAGTATAAAAGGCAGTAGAATGTTTCAAGATAAGTCTGCATCAAATGCAGCAAGTTGAAGAATAATCTGCCCATTGATATTTGTGATTAGCACTGAAATTTCAATATCATGACAACTTACAGTAATTTCTATCAAGGGGTAGAATGAAGGTTTGATCATTCTATAAAGTCTCAAGGTGTCTCAAATCTAGCCAGGGTGCCAAAGCAGCATATTGGAATATTAGGGAGAATGGAAGAACACAAAGCATGCATTTTTTGTATCCTCTCACATTTTTCTGTTATACTTTACCTTTCAGCCAATAAAGATACAATTTTGCAGTACTATAGAAACACAGTTCAGTTAGCTTCCCAAAGAGGTTTTAGGTTTAAGCCAAGATAGAGAAATTTCATAAATTTATAAGTGGTACACAGAATCTTTACTTAGTGGAAATTCCTTGATTTACAAAATGTTCTTCCAGTAGGATGAAGTTAATATTTTATTGAACTTCTACTCTGTGGCTGCCCCTTATTTATAGACATCATTAATTTACTCATCCAATCATTTATTCAATAATCATTCAATAACCATGCACTGAGCTCCCAATATGAGCTGAAGAAGCAATGAGGAACGAGCGCATAATAGATTTTAAATTAAAGCTATTTTGTTTTGCAGTCAAAATAGGCTGTTTATGACCCATAAGGCGGTCAGTACTAGCATAGTCACTTCTGTACATTCGACTCCTCAGGAAACCGATGCTGTCATTCTCATGCTTAAAGTGTAAGAAGACATATTGTAGAAAAACATGGTTTAGCAGAGGGAGAGTTTGGTCAGAGAAAGTCATAACAAAGACCTCAGCTGATTCCACAGGGAGCTTTGAAGCTGGATGTCCCTTAAGAATGACTCTGTGCTGAGGCAAAGAAACCAGGCTCGGGTACCCCTGCATGACCCAGTCATTTAAGTTGGGTAGCAGCTTCACCCCTAGAAGGGGCCATGACTTGGGCAAGGCAACTCTCTTTGGCTCCAGGCAATTTTTCAGGAGGGGTTTAGCTAAGATTCAGCGTCTTTCAATGCTCTGAGCAGGTGAGATAAGGAGTATTTCAATTCTGAATCAAGAGGACAAGTGTTATAGTAACCACCTGTTGTCTTCAGTGTTTCTGAGTGCCTTGCACACATAGGTACTTAAATACTGGTAAGTACGTAATCTCTGCAACTAAATGTCACCGTTGAGAAAGAGAGAGAAAGAGAAACAGAGAAAGAGAGAGAGAGAAAGAAGTTTTGTGCAAAATGCTGTAGTGAATGTATGAGCAAATCACTATCTTATGTAATCCTCATGTATCCTTAAGGGATAGAGTTGCAACATTTAGCAAATTAAAATTCAAGACACCCAGTTAAAATTTGAATTTCAGATAAGCAATGAATACTTTTTAGTGTAAATGTTTAATGCAGTATTTGGACTGTATGTGTATGTATGTACTTACTATGTATATATTATATATGTATAATACACAGACATATGCCATATTTTATGGATACTACTTATACTAAAATATTATTCATTGTTTACCTGAAATTGAAATTTAATTTAGCATTCTATATTTTCCTGGCAAATCTGGGATAGATGACTGAGGTTCTCAGTATTGCACAAAAATTTTTAAAAAGTAGTGATACCAAAAGGTACCAATGCAAGGAATTAAACTAGCCCTGTTTAACCATTGTGACGGTGGTGCAAGGAATTAAACTAGCCTTGTTTAACCATTGTGATTATTATTAGTCTGTGATCCTTAGTTTCATTTGCATATTTTTGTGTTTTCTCAATTTCAGCGAGCTAGAAGCCTTTTAATATTTTCCCCAGGTTCTGCCAATGGGACGAATTGATGGGAAGATAGAAGGCGGAGAGAGGAGGTTATTTCTCCCAGCTTCTGGTTGTGCCTTTGCTATCACTAGCAACAGCTGGAGGCAGCTCCAGGCTCTTTGCAGCAACTTTGGCATCAGCCGCAGCATCACTGTTAGTGATTTCAGCAGCAATAGCACCCCTGTGGGTTCCTGGGACCCTGTTCAGCAGGAGTGTTTTGGTACCAGCAGCAGGAACAGCAGCAGAAGTACCACTGGCAGATTGGCTGTAAGCGTGGGTTCATAGACTCCAGCAATAGATATTCAGGAATGGGACTTTGGGATTGGTTATTTGACCAGATCGGGGAGCCTAGAGTTACTTTGAAATGCAGTAAGCAGCAAGAATGGAGGTAAAAGATGACGCTTGCTTTAAATTAGAAGAAAATGAGTCACAACAAAAGCTCTGTGACCGCCTCTGGCGGAGAAGATGTTTATACAAGGCACGCCATTACTGATGTCTCCTGGGAATGCACCAGGGAACAGCAAACAACGGCATTAGCAGTCACTTCTGTCTTTCTTAGGTTCTAGTGCAGGTCCGTTTTTACAACAAGTTTGAGTTATATCCCAGGACTTGTTTCATCTCTCACATTTTATTCATCCTTGAACTGTATTTACTCCAACAGTAGTCATTCCCAGGGCAGCACCTGTCTCCGTGGTTCTAAAATCCGTGAATGCTGCCTGCACAGGCCCACTCGATTACTTGGGCACCAGTTCTACTCCTCAAATATTGATACCTTTCAAATTTTCTCTAATCTCTTTGGAATCGTGTATCTCTGGAGTTGAGAAGTCTCAGATGAGAAATAATAACTTTACCTAACCTCAGGTCAGGAATTCTGAGTTTGCAAATCTTGACTATGCTGTAAGCTGTTTTGAGTAGAATATGAGAACCTTGAGATTCCCACTTATAGATAAATCATGAAAAACCTGATATAATTTCATTAATTCTCCATGAGTATTCAGTGAAATAGAATAACTAATAGTTGTGTAGCTTAATTCTTGGAAATAATATAGTCTCAATAATATAATTTGAGTAATTTTTGAGTAAAAGTCCTGTCTTAGATGACCTGATGCTAAAAGACAATATTAGCAACATCATCAGTGAGTATGAGAATTTAATAAGACAATAAATATAAAAATGCTCTTGAAATTATTTAATTGCAATGATTATTAGTCTTTATTATTGATTTGTTCACATGACAATTTTTTTAGATGACTACTGATTTTGTCACTTTCTATTAAGGTAATATTAACACGTATCCACTTAATTGTTTTAAGTATATGATTTTTCCAGTTCCATTTCTCAATTAAGAAAGAAGAATAGAGAACCAGAGGGATTAAAGAAATAGTAAAGACATTTGAGGATTTCAGTCTTTCATTTATTGAGTACCTACTATGTGCCAGACACCCTGCTATATTCCAGGGATACAAAAATCTATACCATGCTGTAAATATCTTATTCTCCAGCAATAATAGCAATAGGTACAACTAATGTTTAAAGAGCACTTGTTTTGTGCCAACCCTGATTCTAAATGTTTCACATGATTTATATGATTTAATCCTCACATAATCACTCTACAATGTAGCTACCATTTTTTTTTCTGTACATAAAGACATGGAAACTTTTCAAATTTAAGTAAAAAGTCTAAGACTATATGATATGGTAGAGTCAGATTCTAGCAGAATGAGGAGAGGAGTAATGTGACCAAATTATAAAGGCCAACTTGCTATGGAGGTAACACTAATGACCGTGTAGACCAATCTAATCTTCCATTCCAAGTGCTTTTTCTTCCTGACAGATCAGCAGCATTTGACAGTACTGTCTCATCCCTTGAAAAAGTCTCTCCTGCAGGCTTCCAGGATAAGGAATTGTTCTAATTTACCTCCTGCACCACTGGCTGTTCCTTCTAATTCCCCTCTCCTGCTTGGACTTCATCTTCCTGATCTGTTAATGTTGGAGCACCCAAACACTCAGTTTTTGGTCTCTTTTGCACTTCAGTTTCCTTCCTTCAATTTTGTAGTTTGTATTCACAACTTAAAATACCATTATTATTGACTCAAATTCTTATCTCCATACTAGACTCTTATTCCAAAATGCATCCTCATATAGCCTACTGACTATCTCCAGTTGGACATTAATCTGTCAACTCTTAGTATGTCCAAAAACAAGCCCTGGGTATTTTGGTTCCAGCCTGCCCTTCCTTCCTGCACTCCGCTTTTTTATTTAATATAAACTGTATCCTGCTGCATGTTCAGGATAAACCCTTGGAGCCTTCCTTGATTCCACTTTGTGTCATTGCCTTCACCTAATCTGTTAGCAAACTGGATTGAGTATATTTCAAAAATATTTAGAATTTGACCAATCCTTTCATTGCAAACACCCTGATCTAAACCATCATCATCTCTCAAATAATCTGATTGGAGATTGCTCAGGTTTGGAATATTAATTCAGTAGCGATCTGCCCTGTATCCACTTTGGACTGTACTCAACACTTCAGCCAGATTAAGGAAGCCTGATCCTGTAAGCTCTTTCTTATAAATAGAAAAGTACATACATAAATACACAAATAACTCTTTACACAGTAAGAATCAAAATTCTATTGACAATGAAGGAGGCTATGTATGTGTGAGACAGGGTGTATATCAGAAATTGCTGTACCTTTCTCTCAATTGTACTATGAACTTAAAACTATTCTGCGAATATAGTCTATCCAAGAAAAAAATAAAAGGGCCCAAATCCTTGCAAAGGTCTGTCATGCCTCTCACAGTCTATCACCACTCACTCTTTCCCTCACTCTAATTCAGCAATGCTGCCTTCTTGCTCTTCTGCAAAGAAATTCACTGTGATCCCACACCTGGGTTTTTGCAATTGTTTCCCACTTCCTGGAAAAGTTTTATGCATATACCCACACAGTTCAATCAATCCTAGGTCTTTGTTCAAATTATTATTTTAACTGTCACTCTTACTCACTTCCATATTTTCAACTGCAACCCAGACCCAGCACTTCTCATTATCCTTCCCTATTTTATTTTTTATATATTTATTTTTTGTAGAGATGGAGTCTCACTATATTGCCCAGGCTGGCCTCAAACTCCTGGCCTCAAGCAACCCCCCTCTCTCGGCCTCCTAAAGTACTGTGATTACAGGCATAAGCCACAATACTAGGCCCTGTTTTGTTTTTTCTGCATGCACTTTTCACAATCTAATATACTACATATGCTATTTATTACCGTTTTTATTTTCTCTTTTTCCTCAGAAAATTATAAACACCTTTAGGGTTGTTACTTTTCTATATTTTTTCATTGTCTCACTCTCAGTGACTGGAAAAATATTAGGGAAATAGTATATGTTTGATAAATATTTATTAATGTAGTCATAAAGAGATGGACAATTTATTAATGACAAGTACATCTTGTGGCTTGGGAAAATCAGGGTAAAATTTTACAGAAGAAATGTAGGGTAAAAAATGAAAAGGCATTTCTCTCTCTCTCTTTTTTTTTTTTTTTTTTCTGCGATAAAGTCTCTCTCTGTTGCCCAGACTGGAGTACAATGGCGTGATCTCAGCTCACTGCAACCTTCGCCTCTTGGGTTCAAGAGATTCTCCTGCCTCAGCCTCCTGAGTAGCTGGGATTACAGGTGCCTGCCACCATGCCCATCTAATTATTTTATTTTATTTTTTTTAGTAGAGACGGGGTTTCACCAGGTTGACCAGGCTGGTCTCGAACTCCTGACCTCAGGTGATCCACCCTCCTCAGCCTCCCAAAGTGCTGGGATTACAGGTGTGAACCACCATGCCTGACCTCACAAAAACTAGGGTAGGAGCAAAGGTATGAGCCCATGCATGGATTTGTGTACAGATGAAATATAGTTTTTCATCAGAAAAAATTAAAAAGAATGGAAATTAGCAAACAAGATAGGATGCATCAAATGTTGACTTTTAAAATGTGCGTTCCTGCAAGTAATCATACTCCGACACCTGACAGATCTGAAACTAAGAAATTTCCAAAATATTGCTTCTCCAATGGTGAATATACAATGTGTTTCATTCCACTTCCTTACAGGGTTAAGCAATTGACTATCAATCAATAATCTTTTATGAAAGAAGAGATGGTGCAGCACACGCATGCCCAATATTAAGAGAGAGAAGACATTTATTGAGGCAAGCAGCTGGAGTGGACCTGCCCCCATCACCAGGCCAGCTTCCCACCTGCACGTGCAGCTCTTTCTTCTTTTGCAGGAGGCTGGCTCTGCTCATTAGACATGCAACAAAGAGCTGGCCTGTGGAGCACACATCCATATTCATAACTCAAGTCAGCTGGAAAGTTGTACATTTTTCTTTCTGGGAAGTCATGGCGACAAAGACTGAAGACCCAGGCAGCACAAATGTGAATGATGGGTGAGTCCTTAATTCAACCTTCTCCCACCCTGACTGCAATCTCTGGTGGACTTTCTAGCAAGGAAATGGGACTGGGTCACTCCCCTGCTTAAAAACCTTTCAAAGGCCTCATCTTTTATAAAGTATAAATTTCTTTTATCTTATTATGTAAGGAACTGAGTTATCTTGCTCCTGCTTAATTCTGATTCTTTTTCTTTATATTTTCTTAGATGAATTTTGAACAAATGTGGTATGATTTACAAACAACAAATTGTACATGTATTAACTGTACATTTTCATCTATGTATGTAGTCATGAGAGCACCAGTACAATCAAAATAATAAATATTCCTCTATCACTCCTGAAATCGTACACCTGCCCCTTTGTTACTATTTCCCTCCTGTCCATGTGAAGCCAAAGGTCAGCCTTCTTTTGCTGTGGATTAGTTTATATTCTCTATAATTTATAGAGATAAAATAATACAGTGTGTAATGAGAAGGAGTAGTCTGGCCTCTTTAACTCAGCATATTTAATTTGAGATTTTGTTGTTTGTATCAAGAGATCATTCTTTTATATTACTGACCCATATTCCACTGTATGAGTATATGACAGTTTAATTTAATGGCAGACATTGCTAATTTTATCTTATTAGGGGCTAGATATTTACACATTTATATAAATGTCATTGAACTCTGTTTGGCATGTCATTAATTTATTTATAAACAGTGTGATCTTTTTCGGCCATTCTTCTAATATGTGGAAGTTGGTAACAGGGGTATGTTTAGTCTAGGACTAATTATATCTCACTATGGAGACAAGAATTCCTTGAATATTCCCTGCAATGTCTCATAATTTATGAGGATTTCTAGTGCGGCTTGTGAAACCAACCACTATTTCTGGCTGTGAGAGTTCCAAGCCTTTTTCTGACTAATTAATTTAGATGATACTTTCCCCAGACTCATGCTGTTTCCTCAGACATGTGCCCTAATCAATAGTCTGCTGAATCTCCAAGGGAGGCACTCTGCAGTCTCTAGATTTCTGTCTCTGCAGCTCTTTTCTCTCTCACGCTCTGTCCTGTGAACTCTAACTGCCTTGATCTTCTCTGAGTTTCAGGTCGGTCTCAGCTCTGGGAGTCTGTCGTGCTCTGCCTGAAATTCCCCTTCTCTGTGCTACAGCCTTGAAACTGTGTAGTAAACTGGGTCAATAATCTGCTCACCTTGTTTGTTCCTCATTTCCATGGTCATTCTCCTTTTATTGCCTGATATACAGTGTCTCAAAAATCGCCTTACATAAATTTTTTTGATTTGTAAATTGTTTTAGCTGAGAGGGTATTAACTGTTCCTTGTTATTTTACGTTGTCAGGAAATAAAGTCTCTTTTTATTATTAAAAGATATTTTCACTAGGAATAAAATTCTGGTTTGGCAGTACACTGCGTCCCCAACACCCCAATACACACACAGTTTGTTTTTCCTCTTACACATTTTAAAGATTTATTCCACTCTCCTCTGGTTTGTGTAATATCTGAAGAGAAGTTAGCTGTAATTCCATTATTTATTCTTTTGGATATAATGTGTCTTTTTGTTTCCCTGATTGACTTCAAATTTTTTTTTCTCTTTTGTTCCCAGTAATGTGCATGTAATACTCTAAGTGTTATGCAGCAGGGGTCCCCAACTTCCGGGCTGTGGACCAGTATCCACCTGTGGCCTGTTAGGAAGTGGGCCACACAGCAGGAGGTGCCCGCTGTCAGATCAGCAGCGGCAGTAGATTCTCACAGGAGCGCGAACCCTATTGTGAACTGCAGACTTGAGGGATCTGGGCTGCATGCTTCTTATGAGAATCTAACTAATGCCTGATGATCTGAGATGGAACTGATTCATCCTGAAACCATCCCCCCTTTCTCCCACGGAGTCTGTGGAAAAATTGTCTTCTGCAAAACCAATCCCTGGTGCCAAAAATGTTGGGGACCTGTTATACATTATATTTCTCAATTACTATTTTTTTCAAATATTTCTTCTGACTTTCCTCTCTTTTCTCCTTTTGAAATTCCAATTATATCCTTAACACACTGAGAGAGATTGAGGAGGTCCCCATCTCTTAGATTATATTGTATGTTTTGTTGTTTGCTGGTATCCCAGCTACCCATCTTTTCATGCCTTGGGTTTCAGTTAGGACAAGTTCTTTTCATCCATTTTCAATTTTGCTGATTCTTTCTGTAGCTGATTGAATTGACTGATGAAGTCCATCAAAAGTATTTTTCACCTTTGTTATTGTGCTTTTTATTCCTAGAATTTTCAGGGTTTTTGTTTTTTTTTTCTTTTTTTCTGAGACAGAGTCTTGCCCTGTCACCCAGGCTGGAGTGCAATGGCATGATCATGGCTCACTGCAATCTCTGCCTCCCGGGCTCAAGCAATCCTCCCACCTCAGCCTCCCAAGTAGCTGCGACTACAGGCACACACAACCACACCCATCTATTTTTTTTTTTTTTTTTTTTTTGTAAAGATAGGGTTTCACCATGTTACCCAGGTTGGTCTTGAACTCCTGGGCTCAAGTGATCTGCCCTCCTTGGCCTCTCAAAGTGGGATTATGGGTAAGAGCCACTGTACCCAATCTTGCATTTTCCTTCTTTTTTTTCCTCACAGTTTTTATTACTCTGCTGAAGTTTCCAGTCTAATTTTGAACAGTATCCACCTTCTCCACAACAACTTTTACCATATTAATTATACTTACTTTAAATTACATTTTTGCTATTTCAACACTTAGGTCAGTTTGTTATGTGGATAGCTTTTAATATGTGTGTCTGTGCAATTTTGTGTTTATTTTGTTTTTACAATGTCTTATCATTTTTCACTGTTGTTGTTGAAATCTAGATCTCTTGGAAGAACAACAAAGACTGAAGTGAGTATATTTTATGCTTGGAAATGAGCAAATCATTCCTTTTGACAAGCCATTGATGTTGGGGGTGAGTATCTGTCTATCAGGAATTGAGCTAGATTTGAGATTTTTTTCTTGTTATTGTTACTCTTGGTACTCCAGAAGCTTTAAATACTTTTAATATTCCCTGTTATAACAGCTGCTCTGCCAAAGAGGTTTTGTCCACATCTGCTCAACTCTTAGCTTTATGCTTTCCATTTGCTCAATGTCTCAGAGATTATCTTAACTCTGTTGCTTGTCTTTCAACAGCGAAAAGCTATTACTGGCTACTTGATATTGGTTGGCCTGTTGTTGGAGGATGAAGTCTGTTCTTGTAATCTGATTAAGCCTCAGTTTTAGGCAGACACTAATCTCAAACTCCCTGGAGAAAAGCCTTCTAAGTAATCCTGCCCCATCTTCGCCTGGAGTGCTAAGCTAAGCATGAATTCCTAATCATCCTCTAAGATTAGACAACTTTTTTTTTTTCTCCAATTGAAGAGGGTTTTTACTCAGACCCACTCAGTGGGTGACAGTGTTTGCAGCATTTTCCCCAGATCTTTAAGGTTGTGTTTCATAAGAAAAAGAGCCACTCTTGGATTTGTGACTTTCCCACAGTGGCTGCGATTTCCCCCCGCTGGACCTGAACTGCCAGGAATGATTACTCAAGACTTTTGTCAGTCTTTATTGTGAAGACAATACCTGGTGAGGTCTGTGAAGAAGAGTCTGTTGAAGCATTTAAATTTCTCTTGTCTCAGCCCCTAGAGGTTTTATAGTCTCTTTTTTGCTGACACTATGCCATTACCACTTGTTATACATTTTATCTGAATTCTTCTTATGGGTGTCTGGTGGTCCTTGCCCAGGTAAGCAGGTGCTTATGCACCGTTTCTACTGGGTGGTGACTGACTTGTCTTAGATTTTCTGTTCAAGAAAATGTAGAAATTTTCATATTATGCAGAATAGGTTCTGGGATCGAAGTGATGAAGTTTTAATTTTCTATCCTCTAAATAGAAGGTAGAAATTACACTTTTACTTTTAGAAACAGGTATGATTTGTTTGTTTGAATTGATATGTGTAGAGCACTGATATTTACTGTATTATATGATTTGGCTGAAATCTACAGTCTTATGAGTTGTTTTCTATTTTACTCCTTTTTGAGATTTTTTTTATTTTCTCTTCTTGTTTTACTTCTCTTTTTTATTGAGATGACGTTCATATAATATAAAATTAACCATTGTTTGAAGTAGATAACTCCGTGACATTTAGTCCACTCACAATACTATGCAACCACTACTTTTATCTGGCTCTAAAAGCATTTTTGGGGTTTTAAAAGGAAACCCTATACCCTTTAAGCCATTGCCCTTCATTCCTCAAACCTCCTACTTTGCCCAAAGTAACCACCAGTGTACTTTCTGGCTGTATGTACTTTTGTATTTTGAACATCTCATACAAACAGCATCATGCAAGGTGCAGCCTATTGTGTCTGGCTTCTCTCACTCAGAATGTTCTGGAGGTTCATCCATGTCACAGTGTACATCAATACTTTATTACTTTTTATGACTGAGTAATATTCTATTTTATGTGTATATCATGATTTGTTTATCTGTTCATTCATTAATGAAAATTTCAACTGTTTTCACCCTTGGGTTATTATACATTGTGCCGCTATAAACATTCATATATGTGTACTTGTTTGTTAGCAGTTTCCGGTGCTATTGAGCTTGTACCAAAGATTTTCCTTGCATGATCATACACCAATTCTATCTCACTTTTCGAGGAACCTGCAAACTGCTGTCCACAGTGCCTAAACCATTTTACATCTCTACCAGCAACATATAAGTGTTCCAACTAATCCACATGCTTGCAAACTCTTGAAATTCTTTCTCTCTCTCTTAGAGGTTGTAAGGTTCTAACTCATTATGGTTTTGATTTGCATTTCCCAATGACTGATTTTGAGTGTCTTTTCATGCATTCGTTAACCATTTGTATTCTTCTGTAGACAAATGTGTATTCAACTCTTTTACCTGCCCCCTGCCCCTTTTAAAATGGGGTAGTTTGTTTTATGTTGTTAGTTGTAATAATTCTTTATATATTCTGACCACTAGACCCCTGTCAGATATATAATTTGGTAATATTATTTCCCATTGTGTAGGCTTTTTATTTTCTTGATAATGTATTTCTATATATATATATATGTTTTCATATATATTTATATATTTCATGTGTTATATATAAATACATGTATTTATTGATTTGTATTTATTGATTTCTTTTTAATAAAGCCCCATTTTTCCATTTTTTTGTTTTTCGTGCTCACAGTGTGATATCTAAGAATCCATTGACAGATCTGAAGTCATAAAGACCTACCTCTAAGTTTTTTCTCAAAGTTTGATGGTTTCAGCTCTTATATTTAGATTTTTGACACATTTCAGTATTTTCAAAGGCAGACATTTATAAAAAAACATTAATTGAAAGGCTAAATTATCCATATTACTAAGGCCAGAAAGAATACCTAAGACAAATAACAACTATGAGAGACACCACCATAAAAGACACATAACAAAGAGGGCAAAAAGCTCCTCTTTGTTCACTATGGACTTGAATATTTCACGAAATGGATTACATTTTAAAAAGGAAAAGAAAAGCCCTAGGTTGTTGGGTTATGCTAAGCTTTACTTCATAGCACCCATCCACAAACACAGGGGGAAGTTACAATGGAAATTATTTCGTTTCAAGCATAATGGTTGCTGGTAGATATTTCCCTGAGTTTTTCATTTCTTCATTCGCCACATATGTACAGAGCACCAACTCTACACCATGCCTGAGTTAAGACCTCATGGATGAGTGCCACTGCTTGGCCTCTGCCACCTCAGGATCCTATTGTTCCTATTGTATTTAAATATTGTAGTTGAGTGGCTGCAGTTCCCACTGTTGGATCTGACATACAGAGAAGGACAATTACTGAGCTCTTCAAAGATACAGGTTCTGCCCTCACAAATCTACTTCACAAGGCATTGGTCAAGGGTATAGCTTCTGGACCCTCCCAGCTGGGATGAGTAGGTTTAAAGTGACTAAATGACTCCACCATCCCAATCTAAGCCTTTGGATCCCTTTGTCTACATTACACCAAGAGAGATTAGGCATTTCCAGCTCACTCACAGTGGTCCATCTTTTAATCCATGTTTCAGCTAACCAAGCAAATAAACTATGAGAACTCTTTTTAACTTCCTGGGCTGCAATATTAAATCCGAGTCCCTACTTAGTGGGCCCAAATCAATAAATTCAGCCTGATCCAACTCTGTGTTCCTTCCACCATTATCCCATACCCTACTATCCATTCCCATCCCTGTTCTCCAGATTTCTGTTTATATAAATTAGAAAACTCAAGCAGTTCTTTTTAAGTGTAGTATGCCTCCTCATGGTCATACTCTCAACCTCACCTCTAGGGGCCTGCCGGGACTTTAGTCTAGTTATAGATCTAGAAGCAAACAGGGGTGTTGGGGGTGGCTCCTGGGGAGAATCAACATTATCTTACCTGGTAACTGTCTCAGGGGAGGCCATCACTGTTGCCTCAGGCAGTATAGGGTTTGTCTCCTCAGACAAAAGTGGAAAGGCTAATGGCAGCATGGGTTAGGGAGGAAATGTTGCCACTACAGGAGATGGGGAAGCTGTTTCTTCTGGCAAAAAAATTTCATCAGAGTTTACAAACTTAGTGTGCCCAGCTTCATCAGGGTCTTCCTGAGCTGACGTTGATTCCAGGGGACCCAAAACGTCATAGTGATCATCCAGTTAAAGTAGGGGCTTATGGAGGTTGGGTAATTAATGGAGTTTTAGCTCAGTTCCAACTTACAGTGGGTCCAGTGGGTAACCGGTCTTCCCACATGTCCCGATATCAAGTTGCAGGTCTCATTCTTTTCCAATCAATGCCCTCATTTTAACAGTAGTCACCTGGCGAGGCTGTGCATGCACCTTCCATTGCAGGTCAGCTACTCACATGATAAGAGTAGCTGTGTCTGTATTTCCACAACTTCAGCTCTTTCTTTACAGGAGATAAGACTCTCACTCAGGGCAACCTTAGCAGACTTGAGTCTTGGTATCTGCTTCTGATGCCGGGAGATAGAATCCTTGAGTTCATCATTTTCTTTCATCACTTTGCCCACTGAACTTAGGACCAATCAACTAGCTTCATTATTTTCCTTGGTTCTCTACGTATGGTCAGAGGTATTATGTACAGGGTCACCAAACCCCTTGCCTCTCACAAGTGATGAATCAGGAGTGTCAAATGCATTTATTTTCCATAGCTCTCTAAACAGTTCACTTCAAGGACTATCAGTGTTCTCCATAATATTAGAAGTAGTGTCCTTAGCATTTTGGGGTCTAATCATTTTAAGCAGCCAACTCCAGAAACCCCCAAACCAGTGAAAGAACTCCATCCTCAATTCTGTTCCTCTAGAACCACTCCTGGCACCAAAATCTGTATTAGTCAGGGTTCTCTAGAGGGACAGAACTAATAAGAGATATATACATATATGTGTATATACACATATATATATATCCTATTTTATATATATATATTTTATATATATATATCCTATTTTATATATATATATATCTCCTTTTATATATAGGAGAGAGAGAGAGAGGAGATTATTAAGTATTAAGTTTAAGTATTAAGAGGAGTTTATTAAGTATTATCTCACATGATCACAGGTCCCACAATAGGACTTCTGCAGGCTGAGGGGCAAGGACTGCCAGTTCCAAAAACTGAAGGACTTGGAGTTTGATGTTTGAAGGCAGGAAGCATCTAGCACTGCAGAATGATGTAGACTGGGAGGCTAGGCCAGTCTCTCTTTTCACATTTTCCTGCCTGCTTATACTGTAGCCACACTGATAGCAGATTAGATTGTGCCCACCCAGATTAAGGGTGGGTCTGCCTTTCCCAGCCCACAAGTCAAATGTTAATCTCCTTTGTCAACACCATCACAGACACACCCAGGATCCATACTTTGTATCCTTCAATTCAATCAAGTATACACTCGGTATTAACCATCACAGGGCCTCTGCAATATTTATATTTGACCAGGATTTCTCTTCTACTTCTTTGTCCAAATGATCAATCTCTGCTTCTGACCAGCTTCTCAGGGTATACAATTGCCTCTCAGCTGCTTGAGGTTCTCCACTGCGGTGCCCTCATCCATGTCCTATCCCTCATTAAAACGATCATATTACATAGAAAAGAACTTAGTGGGACCTAGGAATAAAGTTCAGCAGAACGTGAGTGGAGATAAATTCAGGAGAAGCCCTCATTAAGGCTATTTTATTAACCTTACTGGCTACTCCAGCATGCATCCTTTACAGAAAAGAACTATATTGAAAGACTATTATATACTTGTTTCTGGGATATATTATTTTTAGAAGAAAGAGGGCACAAAACTCAGTAAAAAATATTTAAAAACATCTAATATATCTCCAGAAATAGCATAAATAAAGATGACAAAAAGTCAAAAATAAATACTGTCACCAGCATACAATACACACGTATTATATGCTTGTAGGCATGTGCATATTGAGTTAAGAAACAAAAACATCTTTCACTAAATATCAACCCCATCTTCTAACTATGTGACCTTGGAAAAAGAAACATCTCTCTTTTCTGAGCCTTGATATCCAATTAGAGTCAGTATTGCCTATTTTCCAGGCTGGGAGGAAGTTTTAATGACAGCATGTATGTGGAAATAATTTTTGTACTTGTTAGTTCCTCCTGGCTATTTCATATACATCCTTTCTTTTTGTGTAAAATCATGACAGGGTGTAAGTTATTTAATTTTAAGTTGAATAAGGTAGTTTGTATATTATGAACAGTATACACAGCCTACCATTGTGCTGGACCACTATGTGTTAATAAATCAAAATCCCTCTCTTTAATGACAAGATATTTTCACATCTCACTCTCACATTCACTCATGTTCCAAACCAGGCAAACAGCCACAGTTGCTGGGTAGAATGAAGGACTCCTGGACACAGCTAGAGTAGGGAGAAGAAGAGAGTGACTGCAGGCATTAATGAGCAATTGTTATCTCCCAGAAACTTTTCTAATAACTTTATATTAAATCTCCACAGAGACCTCATCAGACACTGTGTCAGTGACGTTCTAAAGGTAGTGAAGCTGGT
The DNA here is from genome assembly GCF_000001405.40 of Homo sapiens. Classification (NCBI taxonomy): domain Eukaryota; kingdom Metazoa; phylum Chordata; class Mammalia; order Primates; family Hominidae; genus Homo; species Homo sapiens. The sequence continues at coordinate 136,525,359 of NC_000008.11, forward strand.
GAGTGGTAGAGCCAGGCAGTATGGCATGTTACTACTCTACATACAGATCTGCTATTCACCAGCCCTGAGAGCTCTGCTTGCCTCCTGCATACACTCTCTAATTCATTTATGCATTCCCAAGGAGGGTTCCTATGTTTGGGAATTCATTTACAAATAAAATATGACCTCCTCTCTCAAATAGGTCACAATCCATTTGGAACAGGATACAATTTCCTAATCTGTAAAATGGGGAAAAATACTCTGCCAATCTTACAATGCTGTTGTGGGAGCTGAATTTACATATATGAACGCATTTGTAGCTTTCAAATTACTCAACTAGCAGGAAGCATTACTGCTGTGGCTGAAATTCTTGGGCCAAACATTGAGATCTGTGCATTTGTCATGGGAAAGGAAAACAATGTCTTTGCCAAAAGCCCAAAGGAGCTCAGAGCTTCCAAAACAAAAGAGGAGGTAGAGTCTGTCAATCAGCTCTTCTCAGTATAGGAATATGCCACACAGAATGCCAGTATTACATGGATTGGTAAACTCTGTGTGCTCTTTAATTACTTTGGCAATTAGTAGGCAAAACTAACATTAGAAGTCGTTCCATTTTTCCTCCTTTTTATATTTTTCACTTCTTTCTTGCATTTTAAGTGCACCCTGCTGTTTCCAGACACCCCTGAGAGAAATACAGTTTCACTATATCTCAGAACTAGCACAGAGGTAGGAGGCCCTGCAGGCTGCATGAAAGACAAGGTGAGTCAGAGGCTGAAGAATAAGTCATAAAAGAGGAACACGTAAAGATACAGGGAAATAGATAAAATTAATATTATTTAAATGTATATGACTCCTTTTTAGATACCATTTATTGAGCATTCACTCAATAGCACAAAGCTATAACAATGACTATTATCTCAATTAATTTTCACAATATCCCTATGAGGTAAATATTGTTAAAACCTCTGGTTTTCTGGTGAGGAATCAAGTAAGAGAAGTAATGTGCCTAACTTGTGTAATATTTGTAGTTAGAAAATGATGAAGTGAAGAACCATTTTTAGAGAACCTAGTTCCTTACATTACACCTTTTCTTAGCTTCATCATACAACAGTCAGAGAAGTTTGTTTTGTACCCGTCTTAAAGAAGGAAACCAGTCTCAGGGGCACCTGTGTCTCTCATGGTCACTGCATGTGTTGGTTTGCTCAGACTGCATAACAAATGTCATAGACTAGGTGGCTTAAACAACCTAAATTTATTTCTACCAGTTGTTCTGGAGGCTGAGAAGTCTAAGATCCTGGGGCCAGCAAGGTAAATTTATTCTGAAATCTCTTTCCTTGGCTCATAGGTTGTCACTATCCTTCTGTATACTTAATGACCTCTTCTTTGTGTAGAGTGGGGAGAGAGAAAGCAAGATCTCTGATGTTTCTTATAAGGGCAATAATCCCATTATAAAGACCACACCTTCATGATCTCATCTAATCCCAATCACCTCCCAAAGGCCCTGTCTCCAAGTACCATTTCACTGGGGGTTAGGGCTTCAAAATATAAATGTTGGAGGAACACAAACATTCAGTCTATAATATTCTATCCCTAGCCTTCACAAAACTCATATACTTATCACATGAAAAATATATTCAAAGTACTATGAATGAAAAATACTTTTGACTTTAGAGCTGATAATTGAAATCAGTTAAGACTTTTATAGCTGTTGGTACACACACACACACACACACACACACACACACACACACACAGATATAATAAGGAATTAGCTCATATGATTATGAAGGCTGAGAAGTCTAAGATCTGTAGTCAGCAAAGCTTGGAGATCCAGGAGAGCCAGTGATATACTTCTAGTCTGAGTCTGCTGGCCAGATAACTAGGAGAGCCAATGGTGTAAATTCAACTTCAAGTTCAAATCCAAAAGCTGAAGCAAACTTGTTCCAGCTTGAAGACCATCAGGCAAAGAGATTGAACTGTTTCTTACTTAGCCTTATAGTCCATTCACATGTTCAGTGGATTATATGAGGCTAACTCACAGGGTAGAACATTCTGTTTTACTGAATCTGTTGACTGAAATGATAATTTCATCCAGCTACATCTTCACAGACATAAAAATAAATATTATTAAATAAATATCTAGCAATCCCATGGCCCAGCCAAGTTGGCACATAAAATTAACCATCAAACTACATTATTTGCAGACACCTAAGTCTGTAAGGTCCTAAATGGCTCCTACCACACTTTTTAGGAACCATAGCTATGTCAAGGCAAGAATAAAACTAGAATTATTTCCTGGCTGATTCTACTGCTTGCTGCTCTCTCAGCCATCTCCTTCTGTGAAGGGAAGCTTCACTTTGCTCAAGTCTGAATGGGAAGATGGGCCACTTATTGTGATTCAGTTCATCTCTCATAGGAACTTGACTGGGTGGCGTCTATTCTGGCCCATAGACTTTAAGAGGAATTCTACTAGAAGCCTATGCAAAATATTTCCTTTGCAGATTAATAGAGAAGAGAGCCAAACAACAACAGCAACACAAAGTACCTTTACACTTTATTCCTGCCTTGGGAATGTTAATTAAATTAGTGAAAACAGACTTTATATTTATTTATTTATTTGTTTATTTTGAGACACGGTTTCACTCTATCACCCAGGCTGGAGTGCATTGGCGTGTTTACAGCTCACTGCAACTTCTGCCTCCCAGGCTCAGGCAATCCTCCCACCTCAGCCTCTAGAGTAGCTGGGACCACAAATGCACATCCCCACACCCAGCTAAATTTTTTTTTTTTTTTTTTTGTAGAGACAGGCTTCCACCATGTTGCCCAGGCTGGCCTTGAACTTCTGAGCTCAAGGGATCCGCCCACCTCGGCCTCCCAGTGTGCTGAGACTACAGACGTAAGCCACCACACTCAGTCTCAGACTTCGTTTTTAGAAGACTTTTAGGTTCACAGTAAAATTCAGTGGAAAGTACAGAGAGTTCTCTTATACCTCTTGCCCCTACGAACACATAGCCTCTTCCACTATCAACATTTTACACCAAAGTGTACGTTTATTATCATTTATGAACCTACATTGACACATTGTTATCACCCAAATGCCATAGTTTACATTAGGATTCACTCTTGGTGTTATATATTTTATAGGTTTGGACAAATGTATAATTGCATGTATCTGTTATTACACTATTATATAGAATAGTCCCATGGCCATAAGAGTCCTCGATGCTCCCCTTGTTCATACCACCTTCTCTCCAAACAACTGGCAACCACTGATCCTTTTACTGTTCCCATAATTTGCCATTCCAAGAATGTCATGTATTTGAAATCATACACTATGTAGCTTTTTCATATTGGCTTCTGTCACTGAGGAATATGCATGTAAGCTTCCCCCATGTCTTTTCATGGCTTGATTGCTCATTTTCTTTTAGCACTGAATAATATTTAATTGTCTGGATGTACCACAGTTTATTTATCCATTCACCTACTGAAAGACATCTTTGTTGTTTTCAAGTTTTGGCAATTTTGAATAAAGCTACTATAAATATCTGTCTGTATGTTTTATGTGGACATAAGTTTTTAACTCATTTGGGTAACATGATTGCTGGATTGTATGATAAGAGTATGTTTAGTTTTGTAAGAAATGGCTGCCAAACTCTCTTCCAAAGTGGTTGTACCATTTGGGATTACTACCAGAAATAAATAAGAGTTTCTGTTGTTTCATGTTCTTGCCAGCATTTGCAGTTCTCAGTGCTTTTTTAATTTTAGGCATTCTAATAGGTGTGAAATGTCATCCCATTGTTGTTTATTGATCTAATCAAACACGAATGAACTATTTCCAGATTTTCCTTTACATAACTGAAGTTAAAATCTTTATTCCTACCATTGTAACTCTTGCTTCAGCTCCATATATATATATATATATATATACACACACACACACTTACATATACACACACATGTATATGCATATATATATGCATATATGCAGCCAAATACATCCTAAATGACACACAGGTACTATGGCACATCAATGATTGTAATTCACTCTGTTCTACTAATCACCTTCAAATTTATGAGCTCCTCTCAACAATTTCTGACACAAATGTATTAATACTATTATTGTCTCACCACTTTCATCAATATTTTACAGAAGATTAATTTGAAGATAATGCAGCTTACAGGAATTTATATGATTTCAAATTTTATCATTGCAGAGCAGATCTTGGAATTTTCCTGTTTAAATATTCTCCACCTGTGTATTAGACCTTATGTCTTCTTTTTAAGATATTAGTCCATGATTACATGTACACCTCTAACACATCACCATTTTCTCAACCTCACAAGATGCTTCCTATTAGCCTAAAAATATATGCTATTCACCTGAGTTCACGTTCCCTTGAAAATAGGATCTGAAGTAAAGCAATTCTCTAATCCTTAGTGGATTTTTTTTTTGGTTACAGTTCCATGGAAAAGAGAAGGAGGTGAACAAAAGGAAGAAATGCAGAGAAAAATATGGAATAGAAATATGAGGGAAGATATTAGCAAACTGGCTACATCTTTTATGACAAACTCAACTGATTACATCTTTTCCAAGAACATCTTCAGAGGTGCGCTATGAAGTATGCAGTCTCTGCAAATGGGCAGAATGTTTCTATGAAATAGACCTAGACCACCCTGAGGGCTAATGTCATAGTAAAGACTCAGATACTGTGTTTGCTGCTAGCAGACTGTGCATTTAGCAGTGACATCCACTAGGTCAGTCTTGGTGAGAAAAGCTATGTTAAGAGCTGCCATAAAACCTCCATCCTGGCCACCATGGCCACTCTGTCTGTGTGTCAATTGAACAAGACTTGAGTAGGGTAGAAGGGTGGCTGACTCATTGTTCTTCCTGCCCACCTCATTTTCCAGCCCCTCCATAGCAGCAGAAGCTCTCAAGTGGTGTGTTTACAAACCTTGAGCTAGATACAGAGTGCCAATTGGTGTATTTACAATCCCTTAGCTAGACATAAAGGTTCTCCAAGTCCCCACCAGACTCAGGAGCCCAGCTGGCTTCACCCAGTGGATCCTACACTGAGGCCGCAGGTGGAGCTGCCTGCCAGTCCCGCGCCGTGCGCCCGCACTCCTCAGCCCTTGGGAGGTAGATGGGACTGGGCGCCGTGGAGCAGGGGGCGGCGCTCGTCGGGGAGGCTCGGGTCGCACAGGAGCCCATGGAGGTGGGGGGAGGCTCAGGCACGGCTGGGCTGCAGGTCCGGAGCCCTGCCCCGCGGGAAGGCAGCTAAGGACGGGCGAGAAATTAAGCACAGCAGCTGCTGGCCCAGGTGCTAAGCCCCTCACTGCCTGGGGCTGGCGGGGCCGGCAGGCCGCTCCGAGTGCGGGCCCGCCGAGCCTACGCCCACCCGGAACTCGCGCTGGCCCGGAAGCACCGCGCGCAGCCCCGGTTCCGGCCCGCGCCTCTCCCTCCACACCTCCCCACAAGCTGAGGGAGCCGGCTGCGGCCTTCGCCAGCCCAGAAAGGGGCTCCTACAGTGCAGTGGCGGGCTGAAGGGCTGCTCAAGCGCCGCCAAAGTGGGAGCCCAGGCAGAGGAGGCGCCCAGAGCGAGCGAGGGCTGTGAGGACTGCCAGCACGCTGTCACCTCTCACTCATATAGATTGCCAATCTATTTGTGAACCAGGTAGGCCTGAGTTCTTTTCTAATCTGTCAGCTGGTTGTATAGAAACCCCCACAAAGACAGAGGTTTCAGTGGAGAGAGAAGCGTCTGTGGAACCAAGAGAGGAAATGTGAGATTCTGAGCCATTTGTTTATGTGTTTAGTTGCGCCATATGTTTGTCCCTGGCTCTATCCTCAAGGTATGTGGCCACTGTAAAATAATTGCTGTGCCTGCTCTAATTTATGACTTAGCAGATTTGACAATATGCAGTTCTAGGGCAGGTTCCAGTCAGATTGGAGCTACATTTTCCAAATTTCAGTCTGTGCTGATTCTTTTAAAAGAGATGCTAGTTATTTCTAGGAGAATGCATGGGCTTACCTCAGAAATCTGTGCAACTTCGTGTGACTTTCATGTCAGGACTTGCCAGAGATGCCATGTGGCATGCTTATTCACCTTGAAGATTTCTAGCTTCACCAGGTTTCTTGGTCAGTTTTCCCAAGTGTCAGAGGAGTTAATATGTGATCATAAATGTGTAGCAGAACACATTCTTCTAGTGCTGGGCCCAAAATGCAACTGTCAAACCACTAAGTTACTTGGTAGAAGTATTACTAAATCTGATGTATGCTGCCTCCGCATAGAAAGATGACCACGAATAGCTGTGCCCTATTTTATTGTTAGAAGGTATGAGATATACCATATTGCTCTTTATCTTAGGCTGTGCCGGCCAGCATGCTCCAGAAAAGTTCATTAGTGTGATACGATTCATAATCTTTGAGTGGTTTATCTTTCACCCTATGGTGCGTGTGTGTCTTACTGAAAGGGTCTAGGGTCTTTGACACTTTTTGATTAGTAGGTTCAATTGGCCTATTGCCTTCAATACACTGGACCAATTTTACATTTTGCATAAAGTCCCGGAGGACTGCATTATGATAGAGAACAAGAAATTTGACACGGTCCTGTGGCAAGACTGTTAAGGGGTACTGCTATCTTTGCTCTGAAAAGGCAAAGCATTTTTACTTTCTCAACCAGTGGGGCTTGAGATCATTAGCTGTACAGTAAGTATGAGAAGCAGTGTTGATCTATTACAAAATGAAAGCACATTTAACCATGGAACTGCAATTAATGCTACTACTACTGGATTAATTTTTTAATATTCCATAAATACTTGTCAGGAACCATCTAATTTTATTATTAATCATTATAATTATTTTCAGAGTCTAGATGAGGGAATTAAATGGGAAAATGACATCATTTATCTTTCCATTTTTTGAGGATGGTGCTAATCTTTTAAATTTCTCTTCTGATGTATTTTTGCTTCTGGTTTACTATATAGGGTGGGGGAGAGCTGTCTCAGGGATTACTTTCCGTATCCTACTATAATGGTCCTTACACTGAAGGTAAAGAAATAAATGATTATTCTGTCAGATGCTAAGTACCTCTATCTCAATATGTATTTGCATACTACAGAAATTAAGTACAGCGAATGTGTACAGAATAATTTAACTCACTGTAAAACAGTTAGGTAATAATACTCCCCAAATAGTTCATCTGAGCAGCAGTAAAGGTTTCATATTCTACCATAGTCAAAGTTCATCTCACAAATATTCTCTGAACTTCAGTGTTCTTTCACTTTCAACAAAAGAAGCCAAATAAGTTTTTGCATATGTTGTGCTTTCTGGATCTGAAGTAACCCTAGAATTGGAAATCTAAATGGAAGGCTTAGGCAGCAAAACTACTTGAGATGCCCCTTGTGGCACAGCTGGGTGGTATCTGTGTAATGTTAATCTGTATGGCCATTGGGCAAAGCAAGCAGCCAGGGTCCCCAGAGATAGGTAAGACTGAGGGTATCTGAGGCAGATTATAAATGGTATCTGATAATGTTGTTCTTCTATTATAAGATAATTTTCCTTATCTTGTCTTTACCTCTGTCCCTCAGTTTGTCTTTTGCCTACCGAGTTCACAGAAAAACATTTTCAAAATGTATGTAAATGTGTTCTGTTTTCTGCTCTTTTGCTACTATATCCTCTTAAATCTGTATCATTCACTCTTCAGACCACTCCACTGAAACAACTCAATTACCTTCACCTTTCTAAATACAATGACTATTGTAAATTCTAATCTAAGTTGACTTATCAACATCATTTGACACAGCTGATTACCCTTTGCTTGTTAAAATTCTTTTATCACTTGACTTCCAAGACACCATATTCATCTAGTTTTCAGTTCGGCATACTGGAAATTCCTTTATTTCTTTCAGGTGTTTATTTTGTTTAGCGTGAATTCTGAATTCTGGAGAGCCCTAAGGCATTATACCTTGAACATTTAGTCTTCTATGAGTTTCATTTCTGTGATGATTTCACTGGTATCATACTTTTAAGAAACTAAATATATATATGGTGATTATCCCAAATTTCTATTTCCGTCCTTGAATTGACCACAGAACTGCCAATATCTTCAAATCTTCATTTAACAGACACTTAAAACTCAATATGTCCAAAACTAAATTCTAGATTCATTCTTTTCGAATATAGTATTCACCAACTCAATAAATGCAATTGAGTATTCTCAATTCTACCCATTTTCCCATGGTTTATTAATCTTCTTTCATGCTGTTGATAAAGACATACCAGAGACTGGGAAGAAAAAGAGGTTTAATTGGACTTACAGTTCCACGTGGCTGGGGAGGCCTCAGAATCATGGCGGGAGGTGAAAGGCACTTCTTACATGGTGGCAGCAAGAGAAAATGAGGAAAAAGCAAAAGCAAAAACCCCCAATAAACCCATCAGATCTCATGAGACTTATTCACTATCACAAGAATAGCACTGGAAAGACCAGCCCCCATGATTCAATTACCTCCCACTGGGTCCCTCCCACAGCACATGGGAATTCTGGGAGATACGATTTGGGTGGGGACACAGCCAAACCATATCACATGGTCACTCAAATTACTACATCATTCAAATTGTCAATGTGTCTTCTTTTTCTTACATACCCTATGTTTAATGACTGTAACCATTTTTACTCCTCACTATTTATTTCTAATCAACTCTACTGATATTATAAAGTCACCATTGTATACCAAAAATGAAATTCCAAGTCTCCCACCCAATTGCATGAACCCCTTCTTGGCTAAGGGCATTCCTAAGTTAACCTGAAAAACTAGTTTAGCCATAATGGGAAATGGGGGTCAGACATGCCTCATACTCTCTTCCCTTTGGAGTTCAGGCACAGTTGACTAGCATTTAACATTAAAACAGAAACCTTAAGATTGACAAACTAGACTGTTTGTAGCAATAAGATACCAACATGACAGGTAGCAGGCCCTAGAAGAAATAAAAATATTTTACCCCAAAATATATTTTTTGACATCTTTTGAAATAATCGTGTAAAGTTGTTTCTTGTGGAAAAAAATCTACAATCTCTGGAGAATCCCCTTACATTTATAGGTATTTTTTAATGATGCAGAAGAGAATTAACTAAGAGTCTGGCAATTTTTTTTTTTTTGAGATGGAGTCTTGCTCTATTGCCCAGGCTGGAGTGCAGTGGCATGATCTCAGCTCACTGCAACCTCTGCCTCCTGGGTTCACACCATTCTCTTGCCTCAGCCTCCTGAGTAGCTGGGACTACAAGTGCATGCCACCACACCCAGCTAATTTTTGTATTTTAGTAGAGACAGGGCTTCACCATGTTGGTCAGGCTGGTCTCAAACTCCTGACCTCGTGATCCACCCGCCTTGGCCTCCCAAAGTTTTGGGATTATAGGCGTGAGCCACCACACCCAGCCACTTGCAGGTTTTTAAGTCTGATAAAAAACATTTACATTATATTCCCTCAGAAGCCTGCTACCTGGATACTTCATCTGCATAATAAAAACCTTTATCTCCACAACCCCTTATCTTAACCCAGACACTCCCTTCTATTGATTCTAGGTATTTAGTCATCTCTTTCAAGCAACTGACAATCAGATAAGTCTTTGAATCCACCTATGACCTGGAAGCTCTCCACCCCCAGCCACTCCCACCCTACTTTGAGTTGTGTTGCATTTCTGGACTGAACAAATGTACATGTATTCATTGATGTCTTAAGTCCTCCTAAAATGTATAAAACCAAGCTCTAGCCCAACCACCTTGAGCGCACATTCTCAGGGTCATCTGACACTTTGTCACAGGCATGTCCTTAACCTTGGCAAAATAAACTTCTAAACTGATTGAGACCTGTCTCAGATACTTTTTGATTTACACCATCATATCTCTTCTAAATTATTGTAATACTTCCTAACTGGTCTCTATTTTTCCTCTCTTCCAGAATTTCCATGATCTATTATTGACATAACATTCAAATAATTTTTTAAGGGGATTTTGTTGTTGGAAACCTACCACTGTATCTCTTTTTGTGCAAAGCAAAAGCTAAAGTTTTTAGAGGTTTCTAAAATGTCCTATATAATCTATCAAGCTTATTCATTATTTCTCTGGCCTCATTTTTACTACTCCTCATTCTGAGCCACTATGCCATTTTGTAATATGTCAAGTGAATTAATACTTTCTCTAGATAGCTACGTAGTTTTCTTCCTCATCCTCTCCACACTTTTGCTGAAATGCCATCTCCTCAATGAGATGAAGCCTGATCATCTCCAATTGCAATCCTCCTTTTGCTGATACATATTATTTTTCTCCTGATTTATTTTTTCCCCATGTTATTAAAACATTTTAAGATACTGTGATAATTCATTTTATGTGTCAACTTGACTGGGCTGAAGGATACTGAGAACTAAGCTCTTATTTTTTTTATCTTGCCCAAATTCCTATCTAAGGGGTCTGGGGAGCCATGCCTTACAAACCATAAATTCTCATCAGATGGTTTTTATTTAACCCTATATAGCATGTCATACTTTCCAATATGACTCTGGCATAACATTATGTGACAAAGAAGAAAGTCAAAATATTTTAGCCCAAAACATGTTTCTTTGCCATATTCTGACATGGTCCTGCAAAGCTGTCCTTTATGGGGGAAAACGTACATCTGTAAAGAATCTCCATTAACATAGCTAGATCTTTTTCTTCCAGGCCCCCCCAATCCTGAAAATATTAAGAGTCTAGTGCCTTTTAAAGGTGTAAAGAGGAAATATTTTTCATCCATTGTCTCTAAGGGCAGCCACTATAAGGCTTCAAAAGAACCCTGGTCTCCACAGTCTTTTATCTTAATCTGAACATTTCCTTTCTATTGATCCCAGGACTTTAAACAAACACAGCCAATTGCCAATCAGAAAATGTTTAAATTTACCTATTGCCTGGAAGTCCCCCACTTTGAGTGGTCCTGCCTTTCTGAAGTGAACCAATGTATTTCTTAAATGTATTTCATTGATGTCTCATGCCTCCCTAAAATGTCTAAAACCAAGCTTCACCCTGATCACCTTGGGCACGTGTTCTCAGGACTTCCCGAGGGCTGTGTCAAGGGCCATGGTCACTCATCTTTGGCTCAGAATAAATCTCTTAAAATATTTTACAGAGTTTGACTCTTTTTGTCAACAATACCCAAATAGCTGGTAAAACATGATTTCTGGATATGTCTATGAGGGCATTTCAAATGAGATTAGTATTTGAATCAGTAGACTGAATAAAGTTTATTCTCTCCAAAGTAAGTGGACACCATTCAATCCATTGAGGGCAAAGATAAAACAAACGTAGATGAAGGGCAAATTTGCTCTCTCTGCTTGAGATGGGGCATTCATTTTCTCCTACCCTCGGCCGTCAATGCTCCTGGTTTTTTGGCCTTTAGACTCAGTTCTGTCCCTCTAGAGAACTGTAACTAATACCTCAGGTATGGCTATTTTGTACTTAATAAATGTTTTTCTATATAAAAGTCACTTTACAAATGTTATTTTTCTGGCTATAGAACATCCCGTTGTGCACATGTACCATGGTATTCTTAGATATATCATTGTTTCCAGTGTCTCTCTATTATAAATAATGTTATGATGAAGTTTTACATGTTTTTAGGTTTGCTGGAGTTTGGATTTACTACTGAGTCATATTTGGAGCATGCTGGAATCTTACAACTGAGATTACCGAGTCAGAAACTGTAAGTGTTTTTAAAACCTTTTTGACATCCTACATTAATTTTTGCAAAGCTGTTGCATATAGGCAATATAGATATGTTATTGTGCCACAACTTTTCCTTTCTCTAATTTTTAAAAATATACATCTGGGAAACTGGGCAAATCTGATGACCCTTTGCCTGAATCCCTTAACACGTTTGACTTTTGACAAATTTTTAAAATCTGGTTCTTAGGCCTTCAGACTCAGACTAAATTACAAGACAGGCTTTTCTGGTTTTCCAGCTTGCAGATGGCAGCTCATGAGGCTTCTTATGCTCCATAATTCTTCTAAGAAATCTCTGTCTCTTTGCCTCTCTCCATATATGTATGCCTGACTTATTTTGGTGGTGGTTGTTTAGTCTTCTGTCTTCGTGTATATTAAATAAGGATGTAGCAATACATATCCAAGTATCATTTTTCTCATTTAATCATTTTTGTTTCAGTGATTCATTACTTGTGTATTCATAGAAACAATAAGGTCATATGTTCTAAATTGTAACCATGTGCCTTATAGTAGAATAGTGTTCCTCAAATATTTTGGTCCAAAATTTCTTTACTGAATACCCAAGAGAGTTTATGATTATATAAGTTGTATCAGTTGAAAATTAGCACATTAAAATTAAAATTAAGAAATAATTAGTAGTTCCTTTTTTTTTTTTTTTTTTTTGATGGAGTCTTGCTCTGTCACCCAGGCTGGAAGTGCAGTGGCACAATCTCGGATCACTGCAAGCTCCGCCTCTTGGGTTCACCCCATTCTCCTGCCTCAGCCTCCTGAGTAGCTGAGACTACAGGCGCCCGCCACCACGCCCCACTAATTTTTTTGTATTTTTAGTAGAGACGGGATTTCACCATGTTAGCCAGGAAGGTCTCAATCTCCTAACGTTGTGATCTGCCCGCCTCGGCCTCCCAAAGTGTTGGGGTTACAGGCTTGAGCCACAGTAGTTCCTTTTTTGAAAAACACTATATTAATCACATTATAGTTTAACTTGAATTGCATATATTTGTTTATATTTTTCAAAATGTATTTTTCATGTTTATATTTTTCAAAAACCAATGTATTTCGAGAGAAAAATGGCATTACTTTACTTTTTTAAAAAAGACTGTAAGGCCTGGTATGAAAGTAGACAGCTTGATTTTCATATTTGCTTCTGCATCAATCTGTTATGAGCTTTCTAAAAATTTAAGTATACAGGAAAAATCTGTTCTTGCACGGATAAGGCATAAGTAGTTGAGAAAGAAAGTGTACTTTAATAACCTTTTAAGATGATTGTGGATTTTATTCTCTGATAATAAACCAAACTGATAAGTGTTAAGTTTCTTACAGGTGAGTTTCAATGTGGAGTTTAAAATTCATATAAAATATTCTTTACTGGGTTATGTAAATATCTATTGATCTGTCTTGCACTTTGAGTTGATCTTTTACCCATGCATGATTTTGTAACATCATGCACTAATTATTTAAAAACATTAGCTCACTGATTTATGCAGACTTTCCAACTGCTAGCATAGTTAATTATAAAACATACAAAACCCATTTGTTAATATCGCCAATATTTTAATAAGAAAGTCTTTAACTTTTGAAAAACAGCCAATCTCACATTGGGAGATAACAACTTCTCCAAAATTCCAGTTTTCATTTGTAACCTCATATATTATAATTGACAATACATGATGTCAACTGTTTTATTTGAAGAGACAAATGCACTTAGTTTATTATTGAAAAAATACCTGCCATACACTTTTCTGAACATAGATAGTTTGTCTCTCAGTCCTGTATTTCAAGTAAAAATAGTATTTCATGAAAAAAGCAGCTCATCTGCTTGCAACTCAAACAAGCACAAGTGTTTTGTTTTTGAGGCAAGCATTTTACTTAGGTATGCATCCAAAATGCTTTATATGTCCTCCCATTTTGTCACATAAAATATTAAAAATAGATGGATTCAACTCAAAATTTGACAAACATAGTACCTTTATTGCCTCATCAAAGGCATTTTAAAGTGAAACAGGCTTTTTGCCTTCAATTGTGTGACAATGAAGAGATAAATGTCTACTAGAATAGAAGGTTCCATTGCCTTGATTTGTACTAAAATGCCAACAGTTTTCACTACTGTTTCTTTTGTGTCATTAATGCCAGTGTCCACACCTTGCAAAAAGGCAAGTAACAATTATGGTATTATTATATAAATGGTGTAGACATTGAACATCCATCAGGGTCTTGGAGATTCCTGTGTTCACATGAATACTTAGAAAATTGCTGTATTAGAGTGGAATGATAATATTGCTTGCTCTGCCTCTTTTGATACTTGTAAACATTGCCCCATCTTTGTGTAAGCCATTTTTCACTGGATAGTCTATTAAATGTAGCTGAGCTTAATTACTAACTAATATAGAATTCAGTATCAGAAATAGAATGTTGTTGTATGAGAATCTGAAATGTGGTATCAGCTTAGTGGAGGGGATTTAGCTGCCAGAACAGTCTGTCCATTGCCGTCTGAAAAGCCTATGACTGCTCTTCCACACTGACAAATGATTTTGTCTAAATATTGCTTGCTTTATCTCTAGACTCAGACCATGAAATGGCCAAGGCTAGAGTCTTAGGCAAAATTATAGGTTACCTTTAGAATGGTGGTGTGTGCCACTCCCTTCTTGATACAGTCAGCAAAGTCCGACCAATAGAAAGGTAAATATCTTTTACCTTTCATATTCAGACTTTTTCATTGTACCAAGGTGAGCTATTAATAAATATGTATGGACAAGGAGTATAAGTCGGGATTATATCAAGCAAATGGAATACACACTTCATACAAGAAGAAATAAACTCAAATTATAATATGCCACTCTGCAGGACAATATAGGACACATGTCACAACGCTAAGGAATTTGCTGTGTGCTTGTACTATGTATTCTTAGTTCATAGAGTGTTATTTGGAGCCTGTGTGGTTGAAAATCAAACAACTGCTTTCATGTAGAAAATTTAAACAATCGTAAGGGATCACTGCAAAACAGCCAGTATAGTCAAAGTTAAAAATGTGTCCCAAAATCTTTCTCAAAAAATCCAACATTCTTTCAATACTTCTTGCTAGATTTTGGGATTAACTGCACTAAGTAAGTTTGTTTTTCATTTGAGTTTATTTTTCCAAATGTCCTTATACCATAGAAGAAAAAAATAAAAAGAAGGAATGAACCAAGCAGAAAGGCTCATGGCTAAGGAACAAACCTTATCATGTTTTAAAATGTATGTTGTGACATCATTGGCCATGATTATTTGCACATAAAATTAACCACAGACAATCATATTGACAGCCTACTCAGATTTTGAGTAATCAATATTTCCAAATAAATGTTAAGCTCAGGTAAATCTAGCAGCAGCCTATTCTAAAGTGATCCTTCTCCAAAAGATTATAGCTGGCAAGGAGTCTCATGGGATGCAGATTTGATAGAGAGGTTCACAAAATAACCAGAGATTCTGCAATTTGTGTTTCACGCAGTAAATTTAACACAGGTTGTATTTTGGGCTGAAAGGCTTCTATCATCTTTAATTTATCACTAATTTATTTTTCTATCAACATGAAACCAAAATCAACCTCCAGGTTATATGGACCCCTAGCTATGCTGACCCTCTGTAAAATTTGGCACTCATAGTACCTGCTGTATCTTGATTTCTGTGGATTTATATGGTGAAAAGCCAGCATATACCAATATTTGGTACCAATATCTGGGGTGCCAGAGTTTCCCAAATAAGCAATTTATTGTTCCTTTGTGTTTTTAAAAATCACCTAACCTGCCCCTCAAAATAACTCTTTTTAGTAAAAAACCTTGTGATTTATAAGAGCACATTTGCCAAATTTTGTGAAAACTCTGGCATAAACTTGGTAGCACCCCTAATTTAATGCTACACGGTTGAATAAATGAATTAATGTTTACATGCTCAGTGATCTGACTATATTTAGGTTTGTTCTTCAAGTTTTAGCATTTGAGGATTTCCTTTTTTTTTTTTTTTGCTTTTTCCCTGTCGTTCCCCTTCTCTCTTCTCTTTCTTGTCTCTTTGTTTCCGTCCAATCCTTCTGCTACTTGTTCCTCTCCCCACTCCCTTTTCCTCTTCTTCCTCCTTTTCCTCACTTTTCTTAAGATCCAGCTATGCTTGGCTCTCCATTCCTGAGTTACTTCACTTAAAATAATGGTCTCCAATCCCAAACATCATGTGTGCTCACTCATAAATGGGAGCTGAGCTATGAGAACACAAAGACATAAGAATGATACAATGGACTTCGGGGACTTGGGGGGAAAGAGTGGAAGGCAAGTGAGGGATAAAAGACTACACATTGGGTGCAGTGTACACTGCTCGGGTGATGGGTGCACCAAAGTCTCAGAAATCAGCACTCTATCACTTACTCACGTAACAAAACACCACCTATTCCCCCAGAACCTATTGAAATAAAAAAATAAAAATTTAAAAAAATCCAGCTATGGGGATTTTAGGAAGAAAGGCAGGAAAGAACTATCATAAGTGTGGTTTCCAGAATTTAAAATATGAAATTAATATTATGAGTTTCTGAGAAATGTATTCCATCCAATTTAGACAGGAAAAAAATATCTCACAGAGGTTACATAACTCTTCTAAGTTATGTAAACGGTGGCTTTTAAAATTGTATAATAATTATCTAGTGATGCATTTATTCATTTATGCATTAAACACATATATCCTCTATTCCTGGTATCCCAGCCCTGTTCTAGGTAATAAAAATAAAGGGGCCAAAAAGACCAAATTTCTGCCCTGATCTTGATTAAGCATATTTTCTTGAGAGAGGGGTCAGATTGGAAAAAATGAAAAATAATACATAAATGAGATTATTTAAAATGCGGTAATGTTGTGAAAAACAAACACAGGCACAACTGAGTAGACTCATTTGATAGTATGAAGTGGAGTATGTTGATGGGGCGTGAAGACCAGGGTTTCAACTAGGATGTACATGCTAAAGGTATCTCTGAAAAAGTAATATTTCAGTTGAGCTGGAAAAGTCAGAGAAGCCCAAATATGAGAAGATTAGGGAAAAGGACATATGAGGCAGAAGGACAGCAATGCAAAGTTTGTAGAGGATCTAGGAGAGTGGTTGGGGTTGATGTCAGATCAGAGAGGCAGGCAGGGAGCTAGTGATATTGAGCAGAACACCATTGTCAGAGGTTTAGGTTTTATTTTCTTTGTAACAAGAAATGACTAGACAGTTTTTTAAGCAAGAGGTAAGAGATGTGATGTGGTTAATACTTAAAAGTTGTCCCTTTTAATTTGTAAAAAGATTTGTAGAGAGAGGACAATTAAGAAGGAAAGTATTTTTTTAAATGGCCATCTAAGTGCTCCAGGTTAAAAACAAAACAAAACAAAACAAAAAACAGGGATCTATAGACTGACTTGATAAATGCAGATATATTGAAAGTAGAATCCAGGTCCCATATCCAAGACAAAGAGACTTTTTAAATTTTAAAACTTAAACTGTATGAATAATGGTTATACAAAAAAGATATTAATTAAAATACGTTTATGCATATATTTTTAATATAAAAATAATTAAATTCAACCTCATCTGTGAGCCTCTATGTACTGTTGATTTTTTTTTTCACATTTTAGACTATATTCTACTCTCTCAAAATGTTAATTTGTGGGAGGCCAAAATTCTATTTCATTGAAAGAAAAGTAAACATAAATAAAAGATGTTTCTGATTGATAAAAATTGTATATTAAAATACTGAGACGTGTTTTGATCTGCATTAGTAAGTGGATGCCTTTCATAGAGTTTGAAATAGTGATTTATATTTTCAAGAGCATATGTAACTATGTTTCATGAGACAGCATTTTAAAATAGAGATATACTCAGAATAGGCTTTTAAAGCTAAAAACCCAAAGGAGAAATGTATCAGAAAAACAGTTCTTTGACTTTACTTCATTACAACCTCCTGAGACTAATCCGTTTTATAATAAATGTAGTCATCGCTTATTTATCATAGTAACACAATTTAAAAAACAAATGAAAGCCAATCTTGTCTTCTATTGAAGCAGTCTTGGACATTCTTCTGGGAAATGGCTGCTTATATTTTGCATCCATTTTATAATTGAAATGTTTTTTTTATTTGTTTTGTTTTGTTTTTACTGTTGGGTTTTGAGAATATTTTTAAATTGGATGAGATACTACAGATATGTGGTTTGCAAATATTTTCTCCCAGTCTGTAGTTTGTCTTTTTCTCTTCCAAATAAGCTGTTTCACGGAGCTAACATTTTTTTCATTTTGATGAAATTAATTCATCGGTTTTTTTTCTTCTATGGATCATGAGTTTGGTGTTGTCTAAGAACTTTTTGAGGATTTTCTCCACATGTTTTTCTAAAAGTTTTAGTTTCATGTTGTAAATTTAGTTCTGTAGTTCATTTTGACTTAATTCTTGAGTAGGCTTTAAAGTTTAGTCGATGCTCAGTTTTGCCTGGGAAATGTGGAAGTCTAAGGCTCCCCTGGGCCTTTGTTGATATGAGTGACGGTGGGTACAATTATTTCAGTGGTGTTTGGCTGGACTAGCAAGGTTGTTATCTGAAACTTTTCTGTCTTGCTAGACTGCCTTCCCTGGTCCTCTAGCTGAAGAGAACAGGCTTTTTCTCGTTCTTTCCTCCTTTTGTGTGTGCCTTTGGTGTTTCTGGGTGGCTAGCTTCTTCAGCTCCAAGTCTCAAACATGTAAGGTAAAAAGCAATACCAGGGCACTCTCCACTGTGCCACTTCTTGAGTCCCCAATCCCTAGCTGCTGTATCTTTGTCTCTCTAACTTTGGAATTAATGTTTATTTTAAATATGATATCCAGGGTTTTTAGTTGCACTTAACAGGAGGAATAGACAACATTACATTTCCTCCAAATTCACAGAAGGAGAAGTCTTAGCCACAGATTTTTATGATATTTTCTGGAAATAACCTTTATAATATTCAAGGAGACTCAAACTTCATTATATTTAAAGAGAATAATAAAATGTATAGCACTTAAAATTTAAAAAAAAATAATATTATGGTCATGACCTGTGAATGTAGGGGAGTAAGGTAAAGCTTTTCTTATTTTCAATCATCCCACATCCTTAGGGCAAAATAAACAATGGCAAGATTTAGAAGAATATTCCCATTAACAGACCCACAGATGATTAGTTTTCCTTCTCTGATCTAATATTTCTCTTCTCTTCCACAGCCTCCCTTTCTACCTCCCTACGACCCCTCAACTTCTGAATATTTTCTCTTGATATGATTCTATCGGGTTTCATTCTGTGTCAATGAATGTAGATAACACTTATTCGTGTTTAAAGTAATACTTGTGATTTATTTTGTGTGTAACCCTGTTTCTATGTGGTTCAAAAGGAGCCAGTCCTACCTGCCCCATCTCCAACTACAGGAATGTCCCCAGCCACTTAATCAGGGTCTTCATTCTGTCTCTCAACAGTGATTGATTCCAAAATAGACCCTTGATCCAATTAGATCCCATCCCAGAGTTTTTCTGCTTGAATTATCAGGGAAGGAAGGCTTTGTCCACTCGGATTGTTACACTGGAAAAATGTGAGTCCTAGCTTGCCATTCACTGTTTTGTCTGACATATGGAGGTAGTCTGCCCAAACAAAATCAAGCTCAGCTAAACAGAATTCAGAGAAGTAGAAAGAAACAAAACCCCTGCTTGCTATTTTAGCTACTGGATTTCATTTTTCTGGGAGCCAGCAGCCAGACTTAGGTCTCTCAGATTATAAATTACCTTTTCCCCTTAATAAATGTTCAGATATATGTAACTGAAAGTCTTATGATTTCTATAACTTAGTTTCTTCCTTTATTTAAATAAATTGTTGCTACATTTAATGAATACTAAGGGATAGTGATGTTCTAAAAGATAAAAATAGAAGAATAAGCAAGGTTCTGCCTTAATAAGCTTGTAGTCTAGTAGGGGAGTGCTTGCCAACAATTTTCAAATCAGGGACATGAAGAAAATATTATTTTTGACCAGGCGCGGTAGCTCACACCTGTAATTCCAGCACTCTGGGAGGCCGAGGTGGGTGGATCACTTGAGGCCAGGAGTTCAAGACGAGCCTGGCCAACATGGTGAAACCTCATATCTGCTAACAATACAAAAGTTAGTTGGGCTTCGTGGTGGGAGCCTGTAATCCCAGCTACTTGGGATGCTGAGGTCAAAGTATCACTTGAATGCAGGAGGCAGAGGCTTCAGTGAGCTGAGATAGCTCTTCTGCACTTCAGCCTGGATGACAGAGTGAGACTCTGTCTCAAAAAGAAAAAAAAATATATATTTTTTTGTGTAAAGCTGGAGCAAATGCTGATCTTCCATATTGCATGATTTTAAAGAGAACCAATCCTATCACATACGAAGAGGTACCCCAGTAGAGTACAAAGGGTACAAAGGCGGCAGTGTGCCTTGAGTAGGAGACAAGAGGAGTAAATGTGCACAGAATTTCACCCTTACTTTATTATTAAATAAAAATTTTAATGAAGTCTAATACACACACGTGTGTGTGTGTGTAGGTGTATGTGTGTAAGAGACAGACACAGAGAGAGAGAGAGATGCAAAGATCTTAAATGTAAAATTATGTGTTTTCCAAAGCAAATGTACCCATATAATCACCCCCTAGATTTAACAACACATTTTAGGTGAGACTTACTGATGCTGTTGAATGTGGTAGCAGTTCATTTATTTAAGATACTGTATAATGTTCTAAGGTATAAATGTTTACTCGATTCTGCTATTGATAGGATATATTGTACCTAATTTATTTCCCTTTATTTTTCATGTTTCTATCTAAAATCCACTTGGAATAACTTTTGTTTAAAGTATACAGTAGGAGCCAAGATTTTTTTTTCCATATAAGTATCAATTGATTCAGCATCATTCATTGAAGGAATATCTATCCCCATTTGTGTATATTTACCTGTACTAATTTCAAATGTCGCATAAGAGTAGGTTTATTTCTGAACTCTTCTTTCTTTTCCATTAATCTATGTGTCTCTCTGAATGCCAATACCAAATTGTCTTAATTACTGTGGCGGTGTTTGGTGGTGTGTGCCAATTGGCTCTATTCTTCACAATTGTTTTTGCTTGCTTGGCCCTTTGATTTTATAGTTCACTGTTTAAATGAAACTTCATTGAGTTGATAGGTCAAATTAAGGAAAACTGAACCTTTAAAATACTGAGCCCTCTCATTCATAAATGTAAAAATTCTTCCATTCTTGCAGGTTGTAATTTATTTTAATAGTAATAAGTAGTTTTGTGCACAGAGGTCTTGTTGCTCCTTTGAAAGTAACATGTAGCAAAACAAAACAAAAAAACAGGAAACATTGGCTCCTTTGAAAACATTCTCATTTCTTCAGTTTTTAGCAGTTTTGCTGTGATCCCTGTCATGTTTTCCTTTTACCTATCCTGCTTAGTTTTTTTAAACTTCTTGTGTCTGTGCTTTGATATCTTTCATTAGATTTTGAGAGCTCTCTAATCTTATATCTTTAAATATTTCTTCTCTCCTTTTATCTCTCTTCCCTTATTCAGAAACACCAATTACAAATATGGCAGACCATTGGCTAGGTCTCATATGTCTCTTACATTTTTTTGTCTGAATTTTTACTTTTTATTTTCTTTCCATATCTTAGTCTTGATATACTGACCTATTGGTCAGTTCATTAAGTATCTCCACAGTGGCATTAATTTATGTTAATCTCATATATTGAGTTCTTAATTTTGATTATTTTATTTTACATTCTAGAATTTCAGTGTATTTCTGTCTTCCATTGATTTATATTTTCTGTTGACATTGCCCATCAAATCATCTATTCTCTTGAACATACTACATTTTTTCTTTCTCTGTCTGATAAAAATATTTTATTCTCCTGAGGATTTTTTTTTCTAATGTCAACTTTTTTCCTCTTAATTTTAGATTTTTTTGGTTTCTGTATGCCTGCTGTTTTCTATTAAATGTCATGAAATACTTTAGAAACTATTTGAGGCTCTGAGTGGTGTTATATTCCTACACTTAGAATTTATTTTTATTTTTTTTCATATAGTTGAGGTAGGCGTAGATCATCTTAATCCAGTCTGAGGTTTATCAGACTTGAAGCTGGGATTCAGTCTTTTTATAAGTGCTTTTTAATTTTCATATCATGCTTTCTTTACATAAGCAGCTTTTGAAAGGTTGCACATTTACTAAGGTTTCTTTCGTAGAAGATTCTGTCCTTCAAAATGTATCTTGGCAGAATATTAAATTACTGTTAGATTATTGAATATTATTCTTAGATTTTCAGGCTTTTACATAATTCTGCTCTACTTTTCAACTTCTCGGCTACTGCTAAGGAATTAGTAAATTTCCACTTGGAAAACTGGTACACATTGGATTATCTTCCTATGCTTCCCTTCTTTTTAGACCTTTTTTCTTTCCAATCTTACAGGCTTAGTTGCTCTAGGGTGGCTTCGAACTCATGCTTTTTAAAAACTTCACCTAGTTTATCAAGTTGTTCTTGTGAATATTAAGATGATACTATCCAGTTCTTCATGACTAAAAGCAGAATTCTTCACCTCTTTTTATTTTAACTCTTGTTATTATAGTTGTCCCAGAGTTATCATCTGTCATGGTAAAACTTTAAAATTCAGTGGTTACAAAAGGACATTTTCTTTATATCTGGCACCAATTCTGGCATATAGGTGTCTAGTGATCATGAAAGGATGCTATTTTCCAGATGATTTTATAAACAGTTCTGTAGTGCCTCTGTTCCTCTAGAAATGGATAAAGGGATTATATTTCCATTAATATTTGGAACTGATGTGAATCATAGTGAAATGTTTTAAAATTAGTATTCATTCTTTGTGCTCGGTGCCATTTTCTACCTTCTTGTATATTTTTAATTAAAAAGCCCATTCCAATATAATTGACACAGTTTGTCCATTGCATTGCAGTGTTCTATTTATTAGGAGATACCATCTCTGCAATAATTGTTTTCTACTGTGCAACTGTTTTTCTTAATAAAATGGAAACTATAAAATTGTAGCACATACCATTTCCCTTTCTGAAGGGACTACTAGTAAGGTTAGAACTTAATATGTTGCCAGATTCTAACAAGTTTATAGAAAACTTTGAAAATATTTTGTAGACTACACACCTCTGATTTTTATTTATTTTTTACTATTTTTTATTATAATTTCTTTATGTTTAATATTTCTGTTCAATAGTACAGGGATTTTCTTTATTTCTGTCTGTTTTGGGTTTTTTTTGTAAGCTAAACCTTTAAAATGTTGATAAGGCAATATAAACTAAATAAAAAAAATATTTTTATCTCCCAAAATTAAATTGTAAATATTCAAAGATTAAGACATTATTTTATATATTTTGAATATAGCTACACCAAAAGAGAGTGTTTTAAACAAAATGTATGCCTAATAATGGAATTCACTCATATAATTTTCTCTATACTGTATTTAACTTTGGGCTTTTCAAAGATTAGGTGTTTAAAAATGTTAAATAAATTAACCACTATTTATTAAGTAATAATAAATTAAGGGAACTCGAAGTGCAATTAGATACACCAAACTCACTGATATTTCAGGACAGAGACTAAACATACTTAATACACAGGAAATTAATATAATTTTCTTCCAAATTGAATAAATTGATTATCTTTTTAGTACTCAACCATGTAGAAACCTGATGGACTAAAAACATTTGCTCTATTTTTAAACAGGCAGACTCTTTTGATCCATGTCTTGCAGAACATAAAATTTGGATGACAATCATGAAAGCCCTCCATGTTCCCAGGTCAGGCAATAGAGTGTAATAAGCTGACTTCGCACTCACAGACCTGAATCTTAGTGCTTAACAGTATTTCTCTGACACTGTCAAGTCATTTAACTACTCTGTGCTTCAGTGTCCTCAGTGACAAATTCACAGAGAAACTAAACTCATAATAGTATTTTTTTTAGAAGCTTAACAGGTATTATGGGCAACATGAGTTTCTGAGGGGAGAGCAAGACTGAGATTCCCTGGCTTTTGGTTTTCAGTCAGGTGCATCGTTCCACAGTTGGTGAAAGATCTTGGATTATATTAGTGTACAAGTTCAGAGATACAGAAGTATTTCAATTCAACAAATATTTTATGTGACTTTCATGGGCAGGATGCTATTCTGGATGCTAAAAACTGCAAAAAAAATATGTAAAAGTATTTCAGCTTAAAGAAATGATACACAAAAAGTGAAGAAACATGAAATAGCATGGGGTGTTTCAGTAACAGCTAAGAAGTCGGTGTGTCAGCCCCAGGGGTAAGGGAAAAGTAGAAAATCTTATGGCTTGAAAATCTGTCACGGTCCAGGTCACAAAAGGCCACTTCTGCCATGTTCCTGAGGTTGAATTTAATCTTGTGAAGAAGGAAGGGTCTTTGTAGGATTTTTAGAACAAGAGAGATGTGGGAAGATTTATCGTGCCACTCACCAAGAGCAAGTCTAGTCTTAGGCCTCCGCCACATACTGAAATAGGAGAACTTCCAGCAAGGAGACAGACCCTGTCTATGGGTGGCAGTGTCCCTCATGCCCAATGGCCTGGAAGAAAATAGTCATAATAACCCATTCAGCCATCAACAAACACATTTTGTGGTACTATGTGGTAGATTATTCTGTGCTTAACTTTTTGGAATGCATGCTCCAAGGCAGAGAGACGTGGAAGCACTAAACTGTTTACTACTTTTAAAAGTCTGAAATTGTCCCCATGGCTATGCCTTTGTTTTAACTTGCATCTTCATATATAATTTTAAAAATATAATTAAATCATAACATCAGTCTCTTCATTATTCTACTCTGTGTGGTCTGTGTTAAAAAACAAATTGTTTTTACTTATGTCTATGCCAGCTTTTCTAAATCTATGGTTTTGTTCAAGCCATTGTTTTGCTTGGAAGTTCTTCCACATTCTATGTAGTTCTTGAAATTCTATCCTGTTTTTCATGTCCTCTCTTTAACCAAGTGCACCTCTCCTGCACTGTACTATCATAGCATGGTATTTATTTATGCTCTCCTGATGACATTTGTTGCATGTATTCTTAAATTATTGCTTTTGTGAGTTCAAATTATTTGAATGGATGATGACAATAATGCCTATTATGAACATCTACCATATGCCACTCATTTGCAAAGTTAATAACCTATAATATTTCTAACCTTTACAATGTCTCTCTGAGATAAGTATCATGGGCCCCATTTGCTTATGGTGACCACGAAATGCAGAGATAGTTCAGTAACCTCCTAATTTCACACAGTAAGTGGCAAAAACAATGTTTTATGTGCATATCTGACTTTAACGTTCATTGCAATGTATAAGGTCATTTTAAATTTACTTTCTCTTTCTGCTAGATTATTTATTCGTTGGAATCAGGGATAGAGGCTTATTCATTTGCACATATCTTCTAAGTTGTAGTCATGACACTGTTTTTCAACATGAAGCTGGACACTGTGCTATGCATTTTTATATGTTATTTCAAGTACTACTGGCAAGAACTCTGTGAGACAGGTGTTATTATCACTGTTATTTAAACTCAGATATGTTAGAATATGCAGTCTTCGGTTTTCTGTTTCTGCATTAATTCGCTAAGGATAATAACCTTCCAGCTGCAAAAGAAGTTTGCTGCAAAGGATATGATTTTGTCCTTTTTTTATGGCTGTGTAGTATTCCACAGTGTGTATGTGCCACATTTTCTTTATCCATTCCAGCACTGATGTGCCCCTAGTACCTAAAATAAAAGTTGAGACCGAAGAAGCATACCAAACTTACTTCCATCAGCAGTGAGAGTATTTCATGATTCTCTTCTCATCTCTGGCATTAGCACACTTAAATATATTTGCCCCAAAGTATCACTAGTGATGTCACATTGCTTCAATTCAAACTTCTTTGATTATTAATGAGGATACATATTTTTCCTGTTTCTTAGCATTTAAAACATCTAGGTTCTGAGAACTAATATGTCCTTTGCATGTGTTTTACTCTTCATATTGGTTTATTTAAATTCCTTAAGATTAATAATTTCAATATTTTATCTGCCATATTTGCCACAAATGTTTTGTTTTTTGTGTTTTTTTTTTGAAATGCAGAGATTCTAATATTTTTTGTGTGATATTTTAAAATTTTGCCTATGTGTGAAGTCTTTCCCCACCCCCAAATCAAATTTGTCTGATTCAGTTTCACTTGTGCAATATAAATAAATTCTGTCAATCCACTGGAGCACACACAACATATATGAAGTAATAAAATCATTTTAATTTTGGGAAAAAACCTTCAGTTATGAAAACTGAGACAGAGATGTAAAGTGATAGGTAACTCGTAATGAATTTTATAGCAAGTAAATGGCAGAGGTTGGATTTGAAGCAGGAAGAAAAAATAAGAAACGTAGAAAGCACAAGCTGTGTGTTGGGTACTGGCGTAGACATGGTGGCTGATAAGAAGCAGAGCTGTTGAATAGCAGTGGTGAGAGTGGGCATCCTGGTCTTGTTCTGAATCCTAGGGGAAAAGCTTCAAACTTTTCCTCATTGAGTATGATGTTGTTACCTGTGGGTTTGCCATATATGGCTATTAGTGTGTTGAGGTACGTTCCTTCTATACCTAATTTGGTAAGAGTTCTTTTTATCATAAACGGCTGTTGAATTTTGCCAGATGTTTTTTCTGTGTCTAGCAAGATGATCATATGCTTTTTGTTCTTTATTCTGTTAATGTTGTGTATCACATTGATTGATTTGCCTATGTTGAACCATCCTTGCATTCCAGGGAAAAATCCCACTCGATAGTGGTGAATCATCTTTTAATGTGTTGATGAATTTGGTTTGCTAGTATTTTGTTGAGGATTTGTGCATCAGTGTTTATCAAGGATATTGGCCTATAGTTTTCCATTTTGTTTCTTTTTTTGTGATATCTTTCTTTGGCTTTGGTATCAGAATAATGCTGGCCTTATAAAAGGAGTTTGGAAGTAGTCCTGCTTCTTGGATCTTTTGGAGTAGTTTGTGGATAATTGATACTGGTTCTTTTCTAAATGTTTGGTAGAATTTAGTAGTAAAGCCATTAGACCCAGGAATTTTCTTTGATGGAAAACATTTTATTACCACTTCAACATCCTCTTTCATTTTTGGTCTGTTAATAGTTTCTATTTCTTCATGATTCAGTCTCAGTAGGTTTTATGTGTCTGAGAATTTATCCATATCTTCTAGACTATCCAATTTTTTGGCATATAATTGTTTATAATAGTCCTGTAAGATCCTTTGTATTTCTTTGGTATCAGTTGTAATGTTTCCTGTTTCATTCTTAATTTTATTTATTTGAGTCCTTTTTCTCTTAAACTAAAGAATTTTTTCAGTTTTATTTATCTTTTTAAAAAAGAGCTTTTAGTTTTGTTTATCTTTTGTATTGCTTTTCTACACGCAAGTCCTTCCAGATTGGGTAAATCATCCCGTGTATCTAACTCAAATATCCTCCAAGCTTTGCTGAATTTGTCTCCTGAGGACCTTTTTACAGAAACTTTTATAGATGAAAGGAATAAAAGTTTCAAATATGAAGACAAAATAATCTGCCATAATTTCTGACTTCAAGGCACTGT
This sequence comes from Homo sapiens, assembly GCF_000001405.40. NCBI lineage: Eukaryota > Metazoa > Chordata > Mammalia > Primates > Hominidae > Homo > Homo sapiens. The sequence goes on from NC_000008.11 coordinate 136,552,689, forward strand.
GGGTCTAGGAACAGAGAAGGACAGTGTGAGGAGGGCTGCAAAAGTTGTCATATAGACAAAATAAGAGTGAGCTCCAACTAGCAAATCCCCCATTTTAGCATAGGCAGCATCATATCAGGCCCATATATTCTGATGGTTCCACTAAATATTATCTAGTTTGTTCAGAAGTTTGAAATGTTCAAGATTACAAAGGGGATGTTATGAAAAATGTCTATTTTTACATTTCATTTGCACTTACAGAGCTGAGAATTTTAGGAGACCTAACTTTGCCTTATGGAAAATCCTGTCTGGGTTGTTTCAGGCATTTTATTCTTAGGAACCATCTGGTGAGAAGCCCGGGTTCTTAGTTTGAAACTTGATTTATCTGTTACTTTTCTTTCTTTTTTTCTTTTAAAACAACCTCTTTCTTTCCTTCGTTTGCTTTTTTTTTGTGTTTCCAAATAAACTTGATTCCTTCCTCACTTTCTTCATCCATCTAATGATACTTTTTCTATTTATTGATGGTCCTGTATATATTAATTATGAGTACTGCCAGAGAATACGTTAGTATTAAAAGGACACTCTAAAGAAATCCTGCAGACTTTGGATCTAAACAGACTGTGAGTCAATAGATACTATAATCTGTAGATATTATAGTGGAGAACTTACTCTTGTGTTAGGCATATGAGACAATCAATAAATAAGATATGTTCTTATCTTTATTATTAACTATTATAAACATGCAATTTATATAATCCATGGAACTTCCAGATGATTCCATGTATTTCTGGACAAAGAGTCAAATACAGAACTACCACTGTTTGTGTTGTGACTGACCCAGAGGAAAAATGTTTTATACACAAATGCATGTCTTTATGGCCTCCAGAGTTTACCCCTAAAAGTTCTAGAATGATAGACTGAGAATTAAAGAAATTAATTTTTCTGTTTCTTAAACTGAAATAATAACTCAATTATGTCTCTTACCTTACAATTTATCAGGTGGTGCTTATCAGATAATCACAGAATTGTACTCTTCCTGAATAGCCCCTTGGCTTCCTTCACTGGCCTAAATCCACAGTGAGGTTTGAATAATTTTGTTTGTTTTAGAAGGATTCAGTAACTTTTCTTAAATTAATCTGCATCCTTGGCTATAGGTATTTGCAAAGTAGACTACTTGAATGCAACATTTTGCTGAGCTTCTCCTGCCTTTTAGTTCTCCCCTTGGTCTCTTGGAAGCTAATTTCCTTCCCTCAGGACCTGTCCTGGCTCTCCACCAGGTAAGGGAAATCTGAATCTAGCCCTTTCTTAAGTCTTGCAAATTATTCTCCTCAAACTGGAGGATGCTGAATAAAATCTTACTTTGTTTAGGCTTTCCCCAATTTTACGGCAACCAAACTTTCTCCCTGAATGTGATACAGCAACAAATTTTCTCCTAAAAACATGAATGGAGACACAATTTTCCACTATTACAGTTATTTTATTTGTAATAGAAAGAATTAATTTAGTCTGCATAATATGTTTTCATAGAGTCTAGACAGAGGATTCACGTTTTCCCTATTAAATTGACGTTGATCTTATTTCTTACAAATTTATAACCCTGACTAATGGCATGTTTCTTCCTGCTCTCAGTCATCTGGTGTTAATGGTGCCGTGTCCAAACAGTTGATTTCTGTTTTCCACATAACTCGTCAGCTCCGATAGCAGTGGTGACAGTTTTAGCTCATCTTGCTACATCAACATTATTCAATTAGGCAATATTTATTAAACAGGTGCTATATGCCAAACTCTATGCTTTGCTAAGATATCAAGAGAAATACAGTATTATATCTCCCCTCAAATAATTAAACAACTCAGAGACTGAGAGGCCACCCACATGTCATGATGTCTGGGTTTTATAAAAGAAGAAAGAAGGGAACATTGGAGGTTTTAATAAAGAAGTGGTCCATTCATCAAAGAAGAGGTTATCAAAAGGTTTACAGGTGGACAATGAATTTGAGCCTCAAAGCCCAAGTAAAAATTTTCTAAGTGGGAAAGGGAGTCAGGTGGTACAATGTATAGCATAGAACAAATTCAGCAAAGATAACTAAATAGATGAAGACATAGAATGTTACAACATCAAGATCTATTCCGAAAGTTCCATGGATTTCAATGACTAGGAAACATGGCTGGGCAGTGATGAAAGGGAGAAGACTACACAACTAAATCAGAGTCAGATATGAGGGTTGATTGGTTTCCATATTGAAATTTAAACCTTAGTTCATTGATAATCCTTATGAAAGTGTTTTTACCTGGAAAATAGCATGGTCAGATTTGCTGTTGGAAAACGTCGCTTGTCTGTATAAACTAGGAGGGAGTACAGGCAGTGAGTCCATACAAGAGATTCTCATGGCCACCTGGCCTGGACATATAAGGGCCTAAAGGAGGCGGTGGACATCCACAGCTAATTACAGGACTTTAGGAGCAAACACGTATGATGGATTGAATTATTGCTTCATTCTATCTACAAGCCTTAACAATGAAATGTGGAAAATGATACTTCCCAACTGAGAAAAATGTTGTGAAACCCAAATGATATAGTTCATTCATCCCAGTGACTGATAAAACTATCATTATTACCAATATTATAGCTATTGAGGTATTTGTATTGAAAACAGAAAACAACGGAGAATTACGGGATATACCCAAGATACAGTGGAGAGAGAGACAGAGAGAGTGGGAGACAGGGTTTGAGATGTGAACAGTTAGCAAATTGAAGTATTTAGGAGACATTCTTGTGGAAGTCACAGCACCGGGTTTCACTGGTGAGATAACAATAGCATTACAATAACATTGATATAAACAGCTATGATTTATTGACAGTCACAGCCCCAACCACTTCATTTGTAATAGCCCAATTAATTCTCATAGCAACTCTGAGGCAGAAAACACTATTGTCATTATTACTGTGATCAGAGGAAACTGAGGCACAGAAAGATAAAGTAACTTGTTCAGAAACATGTCCTGAGAAAGTAACATCGTTTGATATAAACCCTAGCAATCTGTATCTAGAATCTCTGCCCTTCATCATGTGTCTGAGAGCCTGCTGTAGATGCTTGAAGGAAATCGTTGGTTATAGAGGTGATCACAAATGAACAGTCAGTTAAAGATTACCAGTAAAGAAGACTGTGCAGTCGTCCTCCCTTATCTGCAGTTTTGCTTTCCACAGTTTCAGTTACCCACAACTAACTGTGGTCCACTAATATTAAATGAAACATTCCACAAATAAACAATACATAAGTTTTAACTTGTGCACCATTCTGAGTAGGGTAATAAAATCTCACACCATCCTGATATGCCCCGCCTGGGATATGAATCAGCCCTTTGTCCGGTGTATTTATGCTGAATTTGCTACCTGTCCCGTTAGTCATTTAGTAGCTTTCTCACATATCAGACTGACTGTGGAAGTATTGGTAGTGCAGTGTTCATGTTTGAGTCACCCTTATTTTACTTAATAATGGCCCAAAGACCAAGAATTCTGATGCTGGTAATTCAGATATGTCAAAGAGAAGCTATAACGCCTTTTCTTTAAGTGAAAAAGAAAAAGTTGTCTACCTAATAAAGAAATAAAATTGCATGCTCAGGTTGCTAAGATTTAGTGTATGAACAAATATTCTATCCATAAAATTATAAATAAGGAAAAAGAAATGTGTGCAGAAATTAGTATATATAGAGTTTGGTATCATCCATGGTTTTAGGCATCCACTGGGCATATTAGAACTTATCCCCCACAGATAAAAGGGAACTACCATACTTGCTTTATCTGTGTCCCTGGGAAGCCAATGACCCTTAGGCTCAGAGTACAGTGGGCCTAACACTGTAGAGAGTGTAGACTGCATTTCCACCCCACTCTTGCGATTATTGCATCTGGGTAAAGTGGTGAGTGAGGATGGGGAGCAAAGGAGTATCAATCACTTTCAAATGATCTCTCTGCTCCATAGGTTCCATATACAATTCTTAGAAACGCAGAGCAACTATATTGTACTCAGCTCCATATTCCCCAGGGTTTATCACTGTTTTTGGTGCATTGTAGGTATCTCATTCCTATTTGCTCAGTTGAACAAACAGGAATTGAACAATGCTGGAGGGAATAAAGACATTCAGTTACTCAAAATAGCCAAAAAGTGTTTGATTAAGAGCCTTGACTACTAACATAACACCATTGATATCCAAACCCGAATGTTATCCTGTACTGTTTCTTAAGATTTTCTGTAGGAGAATTCTCAGTATATGCCACTTTGTGGACAGAGCATTGGTCCTCACTAAAACACACTGAAACATTTTATCAACTAACTAGTCAAAGATGGAAAATGCAACCCAAGAGTCTAGATGAGCTTGTCAAAAGGCAAAGTAATAATAATAATAACATTAATGTATGTGCTACTTATTTCAGACACTAGTGTATGCCAATCATTAGAACATTTACTTTACACACCACGCATATACCATTCTCCATAAATATTAACATTCTTCCATTCCTGGTATCATTTTCTAAAGAGATACCTGCTTCGTGAGACTGATTCTTAGACTTTTGAGAGGAAAAGTCAGGAGGGATGGAAGGGTTGTAGAAGGCAAAAAGAGGCATGTGGATGTATAAACTTGAGGGTGAGAGCAGTAGGCATTAAAAATTTTGGGGGATGGAATGTTGAGAAGAATTATCAAACTACGTGTGTGTGTGTGTGTGTTTGTACAGGTATACAGGTACATATATATGTAACAACACTCAGATTATTTAGAAATTGATTATTTAAAATTACCTTATTTGCACAAATTATGTTTTATTAAATTTATTAATGTATATGGTTCTTAATTAACCAGTATAACACTCTGGGAAGAGCCCCATGATGACAGCTCAGCATTCCACATTAATCATCTCTTTTCATCACAAAAGTCCTGTATCTAAGGCAGATATTTGTGCCACATTTTGTGTCTAAGGACACTGAAGTTTAGGGAGACCAAATTTCTGCCTGAGAACCCATTGCTAACCATTCATAGATCCAGTCTGAATTCAGATCTTTGGAATGCAAGGCTCTTTCAAGGCATAGCATCTTTCTGCTCAGGACGCACTCTAGTCATTTCCTCTAATAAGCTGAAATATCTCTATATCCACGGCTGTTGGTGCTTCAAATAAAACCAACAGTAGCTTTAGCTGCTAGGGACACATTCCCATTTTCTCCTATCCATCTTGAACTCGCTCACACACTGGTTTTATTAGGTCCCAAGCCTGTTTAGATTTATAACCCACTAAATTCTCATTTGGCTATTTTTTGAGGGTTCAAAAATCTGCCTTCAGACTAGCTTTGGCAAGAGAAAGATGTTCTGCCTCTTAGCTTTACCCTGCTGAAGACCCTAGGTCACAATCCAGCCAGCACTGTGTGCCATCAGATCCATCTCCTCTGGGAGGGGAGGAGATATTCCAGCTCTTGAAATATTCACTCTGTGTGTCAAACACTTATGTGTCTCCCATGGCATGGGTAATTTAGCCTGGGAAGTGCCCTGCCTTTCTCACTTCATCAAAATAATCACTATCAGCCCTCTTTACTTTGGTATGACACAACACATGTTGTAAACTGCTTTTACATACATTGGTTATTCCACGAATTACAAACACTCAAATATAAGGACACATAAAATTTGGAAAATAGAGTAAAAAAAGCTAATTATGCCACCTACCCTAATACAGCAGTAATGATAATGAGAAGTCCCTAAATGTTTTATTCATGTGCATTCATTCAATTGATTTATTTTAATTTAACATAGGGTAATGGAATTCTTTCTTGGTACTATACAAAAGTAACTTTAATCATGATTCTAGTTTTAATAAAGGCTACCATTCCTCAACCAACTATATTCAATGCACTAGGTGTTTACACATATTATCAATTTATTTATTTTTTTAAAAAAACCTATTAAACTAGTAACATTTTTCTTGTTCTACTAGTCAGAAAATGAGGGCCCGCAAAGGTCAAATTGAATTGCTTAAGATAACTTGATACTTCTGTTTTATAAGAAACAACGTGTTACTGATGTTAATTTTTATATGATCTTAATTTTTTCATATTATATGTGACACTGAAATAATATTCATATATTTTGGATTATTTTCTTAGGTTAGTTTTTGAAAATCAATACTACTAGATCAGTATACATAAACACACTTTTTAAGTTTAGCGATATAAGTTGAATAAAATGCTCCAAAGAAACTGACAATAATTTACACTGTACTAGCTGTTCATTTCAGAGAACAATTGCTAGATTTGGTTGAAACATGGTACCTCATTAGTGTTCTAATTTCTTTTCCTTTATGGACACATTTTTTTCTCATATGCAGGTAAGGATTTTTATTTTCTGTTGTCTGCATATATCTGTTATCTCTGGCCTGTTGGAATCTTAATGTTTTTTCTAATCACATATAGAGAAGTTGTAATTACAGTTTAAGGGGTGTGTGTGTGTGTGTGTGTGTGTGTGTGTTTATTCATGTGTGTGCATACACAAGAGAGAAAAGTTCGGGGATCCTTTAAAGGATGCATGTATCTGCTCAGCATCCATTCCTCCCTCTTCTGGTAACAGCACCCAATTTTCCTTTAGGAACCCATGATCTGTATGCTAAGTCCATCCATCTAGGTAAGTTGAGGTGCCATCAACATTGGATACTGCATCCTTCTGGCCATAGGAATGGGTTTAGGTCTGAGAACCAAATTTAAGATGAGGGCAATGAAAGAGCTGCCCAGTGTTTTGCTGAAACTCGAGAAAATGGTCCTCTACTTACCCTGGGGAACATAAGCCTGTGAATACAGTTTTGGCCCTCATGGTGATCACATTTTTCCCAGAGAAAAATTTCCTGAGAATAAAGGTACCACTGAGGAGAGCAAACTCAAACTACATGGAGAGATATCATTTCAGTTTCCTGATTCTGTTAAGACTAAAATCAATCCTAGATGTAATCTTTCAGTCATACAAGACTCTAATTTAAGTCAATTAAGTTGAATTCCATCATTTGCTATCAAATACTGTCTGGTACGCCTGTGTTCACCTGCCAGTTGCAGATTGACAGATGACCAGGTCTCAGATAAACACACCCCCTGCTGATTTCTTAAATGTCTTGCTTCACATCCCCTTTATTAGCATTCAACCCTTTTTTATTTGAGTACTGTGACTTCTGCTTGGAAACTCCCATAAGCGGTACCTGAATGTCAACAGCAAATGTTCTTTGGATGCCTTTGTTCTCTGTTACTTTCCACTTTCCCTTTAGCCAAGCCTGTCCCTGAGCCTCAGTCATACCTTCAGTATGGAGTTCAATATCAGTGATCAAGACAGATGTTTACAGTGTCACCATTAACTTTAACCCCCAAGCACCATAGAAGATGCTCAAAAATGTCTGTTGACCGAATGATTGCATAGGTACATTTTACCAATATTCTGACATATTTGAACCATCCCCCAAAGGAAAAAACATTTATTTTTCTTGTATTTGACACTTTCCTATGAAACTACACAAAGAACACCAGGTGTCCTTGGTGTTAAACTTTATTTATGTGAATTTTATTAAAATGTATTATTCACTGCCTAAGTTCATAGCTTGCACAGCTAAAGCTATTGCTGAAATTTAAACTTCCTAATAAACAAGATTTATACGATAAGGTCACAAGTGATCATGACAACCAAGATATTACAAACAAATAAATGATTCCATGTAATTATGGTCCCAAGCATGGTCCCAAACCAGCATCTATTTAACCTCAAGGATGATTCTGAAAGAGCTGAAGAAAATAAGTCCTCCTTTAGAATCATCCTTGGGGTTAAACAGATCCTGGTTCTGAGATAGAATTGTCTTTCTTACCAAATCCTACTGGGAGCAGAACAGGGCCTAGAATTAACCTAATATTGTCCCAGCCTTAATCATATTGTCTTCTTTTGATGTCGTTGTCTGGCTCTTTTAGAGATGTTAGCTGTACTCAGGCACACGTAATTCCTTCTTAACTCTTTTTATCTGTAGATTTCCATATCTCAGATTTTGTTAATTGACAGCAGGATGGCTCTTTTATCAAATGAAAATAATTGTTTTTTCCTGTATTTTCTTCATTAGCATTTCTGGTAAGCACGTTAAAAAAAAAAAAAAGATAATTCCCTGTCTGCCCCTCACTTCCCTTTCTCTCCTACCTCTTGCTAAGCTGCAAGTTCCTTCCCTCTCTTAATACGTGACTTGAGACATAAGATGTTAACTTCTTGGTTGCTTTGGCAAGTATTTTCTAATTATTTTCTTTCCAAATAATTTGATTTACATTTTAGAATGGTGGGGTCACAAGAATATGTTATTTTAATTTTAAAACTCAAATTCAAAGCTCATAACATTTATGATTTCAAATTAATTTACTTACTAATCTCTAAACACACCTATTTGGAAAAATAGTTTGACAATAATATTTAAATTATGTAATAACATCATTTCTGTTCTCCAAACTGAATATGAAGCTTACAATCCAGATGCTATGTCTTCTTGCCATATCTGGTGCTTACAACATGCTTGCTCAAGCATAACAATATTGCATATATCAATTATTGCCATTTTGTAAATATAGCTATTGCTATGTATAATATGAAGGCATGGAAAGTCAATGAAGAGGTTTCATCTAATTTCACTTATTCTTTAATAGCACTGAAAATTGTTTACACATGAAATCTACATAATTCCTTTACTTATTAAAAGAGCTTTGTTATTTCAGACTGCCTAAATGCACTTATACATATATTCACACATGTATATACCTTGCCTGTAAATATATTATAATTACAGATTACAGACTAATTAGAGTGTTATTTATGCCTGAAGATTACATACTAATTATAGATGAAGTTATTAGGGAAAACCTGGCAAAGGCTATGTAATTGTTATAAAATTATAAGTGTATGCAATATAATTTTATGATTATTTGTACCATATGAAATAGTAACTTGCCAAAAATCAAGCCAGAAGGTTGTTGTGAATCTGTTATCTATGTCCTTTTAATAATGTTGAGACTTAGCAATGCCAAAAGCACAGCTTGCTTTGGTTTCAAGGACAGAGGCCTTCGGAGCAGAGCTAAGTACAAACTGCTGCGGGATGTGCTGTAGATGCCTATTTTAGAGTTTGTAGATAAATGGTGAACACGGAGTTAAGGGGTAATCATGAGTTACTCAGCAACATTTTTAGTATTCTAATATTATTATTATTAATTGATGAATATAGAAACAATGAGAAATAACAAAAATAGTAGTAGTATGTGTCACCTGTGTTTCAAGCATTGTCATAACACTTTATACATGTGACTTCATCACATGGCCACATCAGCTCTGTGAGGTACAATATCTCTGTTAACTATCGCAAGGACAAAAAACCAAACACCACATGTTCTCACTCATAGGTGGGAATTGAACAATGAGGACACCTGGACACAGGAAGGGGAACGTCACACACCGGGGCCTGCCGTGGTGTGAGGAGGGGGGAGGGATAGCATTAGGAGATATACCTAATGTAAATGACGAGTTAATGGGTGCAGCACACCAACATGGCGCATGTATACATATGTAACAAACCTGCACGTTGTGCTCATGTACCCTAGAACTTAAAGTATAAAAGAAAAAATAAGAGATGAAGAGTCAAGACTCAGAGACACTAAGTATTGAGCCCCAGTCACACAACCATTAAGTGACAGAGAAGGGATTCATTCATATCTGAAAAGACTGCCTCTAGGACTTACGCTCTTTAACTATCCAATCTTTATTAGAGACAAAGGACTTCAGTTGCTCATTCTCCCTGTATTTCTTTCCCTTTGACTTTAAATGTATCCACAACAGTACACATTTTTAGTTCTTTTCCTCCAGCCTCAGGAACGGGAATAGCTTCACTGACTTAAATTATGAAGACTTTCATTTTCAGCTCCTTTTGACCTTGCTCCCTTTCTCTTTCTTTTATGCTAGCCCACTCTTTTTCCTTTCATCACACACTTCTCTTGGCTTTCAAAAATAAGATTACACCCTTATTGACAAACATCCTTTAATACTGCCTCTCCATAAATCTATTAACCTTTTATCCCTTTTCAACATCAGCTTCATGAAGAGTGGCCTATGCTCAGTCTCTCCACTTTAGCTGCTAATTACACTGCAGCCTAGGATGCCATAAAAGCCCCTCTCTTAAATGTCTCCATTGACCAAAAGATTTTTTTTCTCTCTCACTGTGTTAGTAGATTTATATTGATATATAAAATACTGCACATATTTAATATACACAATTTAATGAGTTTGGACATGTATGTCTACTTGTGAAACCATCATCACAACCAAGCTAATAGAATATCCACCAACTTTAAAAGTTTGCTTGTGCCTCTTTGTTTTAGGTTGTTTTTGTTGTAAGAACACTCAACATGGCCGGGCACGGTGGCTCACACCTGTAATCCCAGCACTTTGGGAGGCCGAGGCAGGTGGATCACCTGAGGTCAGGAGTTCAAGACCAGCCTTACCAACATGGTGAAACCCCATCTCTACTAAAAACACAAAAAAGGTGGGTGTGGTGGCAGGCACCTGTAATCCCAGCTTTTCGGGAGGCTGAGACAGGAGAATCACTTGAACCCGAGAGGCAGTGGTTGCAGTGAGCTGATATCACGCCAGTGCACTCCAGCCTGGGTGACAGAGTAAGACTCTGTCTCAAACAAACAAGCAAACAAAAAACCAAAACAAAACAAAACACTCAACATGTCTATACTCTTAATAAATTTTTAAATGCAAAATACTATTGCTAACTATAGGCAGTATGCCGTACAGCATCTTTTTAGAACTTATGTATATAAAATAACTGAAACTTTATGTCTACTGAATAACAACTCCCCATTTTCCTATCCACCAGCTCCTGGAAAAAACCATTCTGATCTCTGCTTCTATTAGTTTGACTATTTTAAATACCTCAAATGAGTGAAATAATGCAGATGACATGATCTCATATGCAGAAAATCCTAAAGACTACACACACACACACACACACACACACACACACACACACACACACACTGTTAGAACTAATAAATTTAATAAAGCTGTAGAATGCAAAATCAACATACAGAATTTAGTTGTGTTTCTATATACAAAAAATAAAATATCTAAAATAGGTTTTTAGAAATCTCACTTACCATAGCATCAAAATGAATAAAATATGAAGCTAGGTGCACTGGCTCACGACTGTAACCCCAGCACTTTCGGAGGCCGAGGCAGGCGAATCACCTGGGGCCAGGAGCTCGAGACCAGCCTGGCCAACATGGTGAAACCCTGTCTCTATTAAAAATACAAAGATTAGCTGGACATGTTGGTGTATGCCTGTAGTCTCAGCTACTTGGGAGGCTAAAGCACGAGAAATTCTTGAACCTGGGAGACAGAGGTTGCTGTGAGTCAAAATCATGCCACTGCACTCCAGCCTGGGCAAGAAAACAGGACTCCATCTCAAAAAAAAAATGAAATATGCAGAAATAGACTAAACCAAGAAGATAAAAAACGTTTACTGAAAACTGTCAAACATTGATGAAGCATTATGAAGAAGTCGCCAATAAATGAAAAGACATCACATGTTCATGGATTAGAAAATGTAACATTGTTAAAATGCCCTTACTACCCAAATTAATCCACAGATTCTTACTATCTTCATCAAAATCCCCATGTATTTTTACAGAAATTAAAAAGCACAATCCCAAAATATATATGAAGACACAAAAGATGAAAAATTGCCAAAGTGATTTTGAGAAGGAACAAAGATAGGCATCCCACTTCCTTAATTGAATATATATTACAGAGTTCCAGCATTAAAACAGTATGGTACTGGCATAAAATCTAATGGAACAAAATAGAGTTTCCAGAAATCTAGATCTATATTTATATATGTAGGTATACACAGACATATATTTATCTATGTGTGTACATATATATATATATATATATATATATATATATATATATATATATATGTTCATGCACCTACTACAGTCAACTGATCTTCGACAAGGGTGTCAAGAATACACAACTGGAAAAAGTAGGCTTTTCACTAAATAGTGTTGGGAAAACGAGAGATTCAAATTAAAAAGAATGAATTTGGACCCTTATGTTATAGCTCTTACAAAAATCCCTCATTGTATCTTATTCATTTGCTTTTTTTTTCAAGTTTTATTTTAGGTTCAGCAGTACATGTATAGGTTTGTTACATGAGTAAATTGCATGTTGCAGGGGTTTGGTATACAAATGATTTTGTCACCCAGGTGGTGAGCATAGTACTTGATAGGTAGTTTTTCAACGATTCCTCTACTCCCACCCTTCCCCCTCAAGTAGGTCCTAGTGTCTGTTGTTCCCATCTTTGTGTCCATTTGTACTCAATGTTTAGCTCCTACTTATAAGTAAAAAAGTGTGAAATTTGGTTGGCTGTTCTTGCATTAATTCACTTAGGATAATGGCTTCTAGCTGTAGCCATGTTGCTGCAAAGGAATGATTTCATATTTTATGGCTGCGTAGTATTCCAAAATATACATGTAGCACATTTTCTTTATCAAGTCCACAATTGAGGGGCCTGTAGGTTGATTCCATGTCTTTGCTTTTGTGAATAGTGCTGTGACGAATATACAAGTGCATGTGTCTTTTTGGTTGAATGATTTATATTCCCTTGGGTATATACTTAGTACTACAATTACTGGGTTTAATGGTAGTTACGTTTTAAGTTCTTCGAGAGGTCTCTAAACTTTCTGCAATGGCTGAACTAATTTACATTCCCACAAACAGTGTATAAGCATTCTTATTTTTTTCACAGCCTTTCCAAAATCTGTTATTTTTGACTTTTTAATAATAACCATTCTGACTGGTGTGAGATGATATATCATTGTGGTTTTGATTTGCATTTCTCTAATGATTAGTGATGTTGAGCATTTTTTACGTGCTTGTTGGATGCATTTATGTCTTCTTTTGAGAAGTTTCTGTTTATATAGTTTGCCTATGTTTTAATGAAGTGGTTTGGCTTTTGCTTGTTGATTTGTTTATGTTCTTTATAAATTCTGGATATTAGACTTTGAATTTAATATCCAATATTTACAGAGTATTCATCCAACTGGATGAATTTTCTCCCATTCTGCGAGTTGCCTGTTTACTTTGTTGACAATTTCTTTTGCCGTCCAGAGGCATCTACTGAATACTCTGCACAACATAATATACATTCTTCTTACCTGAACAAAGCACATACTCTAGGATCAACCACACGCCCAGCCATAAAGATATCTCAATAAATACAAAAAAGAACCAAAATGATACCAACAACACTTTCAGACCACAGCACGATAAAATACAAATAAATACCAAGAAGATCTCTAAAAATTATACAATTATATTGAAATTAAACAACCTGCTCCTAAGTTTTAGATAAAGAGTAAAATTAATGCAGAAATCAAAAAATTCTTTGAAACTAACGAAAACAAGAATACAACACATCAAAATCTCTGGGACACAGCTAAAGCAGGGTTAAGCGGAAAGTTTATATTGCTAAATGCCTACATTCAGAAGTTAGGTAGATCTCAAATTAACAACCTAATATCACAAATGAGATTAATATGTAAAAATTAATACAAAAGGTCAATGAAACCAAAAGTTGATTCTTCTAAAGGATAAACAAAATTGATAGACTTCTGCTGGATTAACAAAGAAAAAAATTTAAACACAATCAAAGATGAAAAATGTAACATTATGACTGACTCCATAGAAATGAAAAAAACCCATAGAGACTATTATGAACACCTCTATGCACACAAAGTAGAAATCATAGAATAATTGGATACATTTCTGAAAACATACAACCTCCAAAGATTTAACTAGGAAGAAATTAAATCCTGAATAGACCAATAAGAAGTTCTAAAACAGAATCGGTAATAAAAAATCTATCATCCAGAAAAAGCCCTGTACCAGTTGCCTTCAGAGTTGAATTCTACCAGATTTACAAAGAGGAGCTGGTACCAGTCCTAGTGAAATATTCCAAAAAAATTGAGGAAGAAGCACTACTCCCTAACTCATTCTATGAGGCCAGCATTATTGTGATACCAAAATCTGGTAGAGATACAATGGAAAATAAAAATTTCAGGCAAACACTGATGATGAACATTGATGCAGATATCCTCAACTAAATACTAGCAAACACAATCCAGCAACACATCAAAAAGCTAAGTCACCACTATAAAGTAGGCTTTATTCCTAGGATGAAAGTTTGGTTCAACAGAGTCAAATCAATAATGTCATTCATCACATAGACATAACTAAAAAGGAAGACTAGATGATAATCTCAATAGACAGAGGAGGCTTTCAATAAAATTAAACATCGCTTCATGGTAAAACACTCAACAAACTAGACATCAAAGGAACATACCTCAGAATAATAGGAGCCATCTAGAAAAACCAACAGCCAACATCATACTGAATGGGCAAAAGCTGGAAGTATTCCCCCTGAGAACTGGAACAAGACAAGGACTCCCAGTCTCACCATTCCTATTAAACGTAGTACTGAAAGTCTAGCCAAAGCAATCAGACAAGAGAAAGAAATAAAAGGCATCTAAATAGGAGGGGAAAAAAAGTATCTCTTTTCACAGACAATAAAATTCTATACCTAGAAAATCCCATAGTCTCTGCCCAAAGGCACTTAGAACTGATAAACAACTTCAGTAAAGTTTCAGGATGCAAAATTAATGTACAAAAATCAGTATCATTTCTATGTACTAAAACACCCAAGCTGAGAGCCAAATCAACAGCACAATCTCATTTACAATAGCCAGAAAAAGAATAAAGTACTTAGAAATACAGCTAACCAGGGAGGTTAAAGATCTCTACCATGACAATTACAAAACACTGCTGAAATCAGGGATGACACAAAAGTAGAAAAAGATTGCATGCTCATGGATAGGAAGAATCTATATTGTTAAAATAGCCATAGTGCCCAAAGCAATTTACAGATTCATTGTTATTCCTATCAAACTATCAATGTCCCTTTATTAGTTTGTTCTCACACTGCTATAAAGAACTACCTGAGACTGGGTAATTTATAAAGAAAGGAGGTTTAATTGACTCACAGTTCCACAGGCTGTACAGGAGGCATGGATGGGGAGGCCTCAGAAAATTTACAATCATGGGGAAAGAGCAAAGGGTAAGCAAGCCTGTCTTCACGTGGTGCCAGGAGAAAGAGTGAATGGGGAAGTGCTACGCACTTTAAAAAACCCAGGTCTCATGAGAACTCACTCACTAGAACTCAGAACAGCATATGCCATAGAGAACAGCAAGTGGAAAATCTGCCTCCATGATCCAATTACCTCCCGCCAGGTCCCTTCCATAACATTAGGGATTACAAGATTTGAGTGGGGACAAGGAGCCAAACCATATCAGTCACTTTTCACAAAATTGGAAAATACTATTCTAAAATTTATATGGAACCCACAACAAGCTCAAATAGCCAAAGCAATTCTAAGAAAAAAAAAATTGCTGGAGGCATCACACATCATGCTACCCAACTTTAAGCTATACTACAAGACTACAGTAAACAAAACAGTATGGTACTGGTACAAAAACAGACATATGGGACAATGGAACAGGTTAAAGAACTGAGAAATAAAGCCAGATACGTACAGACATCTGCTAGTCAACAAAATCAACAATAACAAGCAATGGTGAAAGAAATCCCTGTTCAATAAATGCTGCTGAGTTAACTGGTTAGCCATATGCAGAAGATTGACACTGAACACCTTCCTTTCACTATATACAAAAATCACCTCAAAATGAATTAAAGACTTAAATGTAAAATGTACAACTGTAAAAAACCCTAGAAGAAAACCTAAGAAATATCATTCTGGACATAGGCATTGGCATTGATTTCATGATGAAGTCTCCAAAAGCAATGGCAACAAAGCAAGAGTAGACAAATGGGACCGCAATGTGTTTTAAGTGCGATGTCTACTCTATGGCATATGCATTCGGATTTTTGAAACAATTTACTTTTACTCTCTTCATATTCAAGGCAAATCTGTCTCCTGCCTCTCTCCTTATTTCCTCAACCACTGTGAGTTTGCCCTGCTATGTTATTCATTTCCATTTTATTTTCAGCCTCTGGTGCATTTCCTGGGAGATTATGGGTGCCTAATATTAACTGAATAAATAAAGAATGGATTGAAAAATTCAAAGGTGATGATTCCTTTTTATTTTTATTATTTATTCTCTGAAATAGCATTTTTTGTGTACTGATTTTTGCCTTTTCTATTATCTTCCACTAGAATGCAAGCTCCATGAAAACAGGAATTTGGCTGACTTGTTCAATATTTTTACCCTTGGTGTCAAATGCCTGGCAGAATTGTGGGTGCTTAATAAATGAATATTTTATAAATACATGAATGAACATATGCACACTTCAGAATGTCAAAAATGTGAGAGTAAATGATGAGAAAGACATTGACAAAACAAGAGTAATAACGATGAGATAGAACAGGAAGGAAAGAGTGCTATACTCTGTTAAAGAGCTACATATGTTTAACTATATATATGGATGTGACTGGAATCATGCAATGATGCGTTACTCTGTTTCTGTGTGTGTGTTTGTATAAAAGAATCATTGTAAGTTAGACTGTGTTTGTACAAAGGCATTACCACATGTCAGACCACCCCTGAGTGTTTATTATATGCATGAGTCTAAATGTTAATGCAATATATTTTATGCTACCAAGATAAGGGAAAAGAAAGGCAGTAAGGAAATATTGTGCCTTATTTAATGTTAAATATGTGCAAGTAAAAATAATAGAGGACAAGCAAAAATGTCTGATTGTATCTTCACATCAATATTTTAAAGTTGCTCATTATGGGAAGTAATCAAATCTTAAACATTCTTTTTTGTCTTGCGCATTTTTTTGAGGGAAAGTAGGGAAAACTCAGTAAATCACAGGTCCATATACTTTCAGGATGTGAAGTGGTCTCAAGGGACATCTACAGATTTTGACTCTTCGACAGCTAAAGGGATTGGCAAAACAGATGTTAATCATTATTAGAAGTATCTGTTGATTCCTACTCAATATCTATACTGTAAAGATGATGAAGGAAGGAAAAAAGAACCTTCTGATATTCTACTTCATGTAACGGAAAGTAATAGAACAGTGTTACAACATTTAGGTCTTGCTACTATACTAAATAAATGTCAGAAATAATGCCTTTAAACTCTAAGGAAGACAGTAAAAGGGCAGGATGTAAGTCAACCAGGAAGGACAGGTCTGTTCAGATAATTTATTAACCCTGTTTGATAACTGGCATACAGCCCTTCATCTAGAATACCCTTTTGCACAAATCCTCCTGCCAGAACTGTCTCACAAGTTAAAACTTCAGTGTACACACAATTTAGTAGCCAAAACCTTGAGCTTTGGCATAAGAAGTTCCTGGATTCAAATATTAACTCTGATACCGACTAGCTATGTGACTAATGATAAGTTACGCAGCTTCTCCCTGAGCCTACTTCTCTGAGGATAAACAGCATTCCTATGTCACAAGGCTTTAACAAGGTAAGCTAGCATTATGTTTTGGAGAAATAGATAAAATAAATGTGTGAAACACACTGCTTGGCACACAATAAAATACTTAATCATATTAATTATTTTTTTAAATTAACACAATTGTTTACATCATTTATTTCATTTTATACTTATAATTAAAGTTGAAGAGTGTCTGATATGGTTTGGCTGTGTCCCCACCCAAATCTTATCTTGAATTGTAGTTCCCATAATCCCCACATATCAAGAGAGGGACCTGGTGGGAGGTGTGAGTTAATTAAACCTCTTTCCTTTATAAATTACCCAGTCTTGGGCCGTTCTTTATAGCAGCATGAGAATGGACTAATACAGTAAATTGGTACCACAGAGAGTACAGTACTACTATAAAGATACCCAGAAATGTGGAAGTGACTATGAAACTTGGTAACAGACAGAGGGTGGAACAGTTGGAGGGCTCATAAGAGGAGAGGAAAATGTGGGAAAGTTTGAAACTTCCTAAATACTTGTTGAATGGCTTTGACCAAAATGCTGATAGTGATATGGACAATGAAGTCCAGGCTGAAGTGCTCTCAGATGGAGATGGGAAATCTGTTGGGAACTGCAGTAAGGTCACTCTTGCTATGCAAAGAGGCTGGTGGCATTTTTCCCCTGCCCCAGAGATCTGTGGAACTTTATACTTGAGAGGGATGGTTTAGGGTTTCTGGTGGAAAAAATTTCTAAGCAGCAAAGTATTTAGCATGAAGCAGAGCATAAAATTTTGAAAAACATTTGCAGCCTGACAATGCAATAGAAAAGAAGATCCCATTTTTCTGGAGAGATAATCAAGCCCTGCAGAAATTTGCATAAGTAATGAGGAGCCAAATGTTAATCACCAAGGCAATGGGGCAAGATCATGTCAGAGACATTCACAGCAGCCCGTCCCATCACAGACCTGGAGGCCTAGGGGAGAAAACTGGTTTCCTAGGCCAGATCCAGGGTCCCCCTGCTGTGTGCAGCCTTGGGACTTGATGCTCTGCTTCCTAGCCATTCCAGCCGTGACTAAAAGGGGCCAATGTACAGCTCAGGCCGCTGTTTCAGAGTGTGCAAACCCCAAGTCTTGGCAGCTTCCACATTGTGTTGAGCTGGTTGGTGTGCGGAAGTCAAGAATTGAGGTTTGGGAGCCTCTGCCTAGATTTCAGAGGATGTATGGAAACACCTGGATGTCCAGGCAGAGGTGTGCTGTAGAGGCAAGCCCTCATGGAAAACCTCTGCTAGGGCAGGGTGGAAGGAAAATGTGGTGTTGCGGCCCCCACAGAGTCCTCACTTGGGCGCTGCCTAGTGGAACTATGAGAAGAGAGTCACTGTTCTCCAGACCCCAGAATGGTAGATCCACCAACAGCTTGCCCCAGTCGCCAGGAAAAGCCATAGACACTCAACACTAGCCCATGAAAGCAACCAGGTGGGGACTGTATCTGCTAAGCCAGGGAAGTGAAGCTGCCCAAGACCATTGGAACCCACCTCTTGCATCGGTGCCCCTGGATGTGAGACATGAAATTGAAGGAGATAATTTGGGAGTTTAAGGTTTGACTGCCCCACCGAATTTGGGAGTTGCATGGGGCATGTAGCCTCTTCATTTTGGCCAATTTCTCATATTTGGAATGGCTGCTATTACCCAATGCCTGTACCCTCATCATATCTAGTAAGTAACTAACTTGCTTTCGATTTTACAGGCCCATAGGTGGAATAGGTAGAAGGGACTTGCCTTGTCTCAGATGAGACTTTGGACTTGGACTTTTGGGTTAATGCTGGAATGAATTAGAACTTTGAGGGACTGATGGAAAGGCATGATTGCTTTTGAAATATGAGTACATGAGATTTGGGAAGGGCCAGAAGCAGAATGATATGGTTTGGCTGTGTCCTCACCCAAATCTCATCTTGAATTGTGGTTCCCATAATCCCCATGTGTCATGGAAGGGACCCAGTGGGAGATAATTGAATCATGGGGGTGGTTAACCCATGCTACTGTTTTTTGTGATAATGTGTGAGTTGAGTTCTCACAAGATCTGACTGTTTATAAGGGGTTTTCCCCTCTTTTCTTGGCACTTCTCCTTCCTGCCTTCATGTGAAGACGGATGTGTTTCCTTCCCCTTCCACCATTTTTGTGAGGCCTCCCCATCCATGCGGAACTGTGAGTCCATTAAACCGCTTTTTTTAAAATAAATTACCCAATCTTGGGTATGTCTGTATTAGCAACATGAGCATGAACTAATAGAGTGTCTTTATTTATCTTTTTTATCTTATGGGTAAGAAAACTGTGGCTCAAGGAATTGGATTGTATTTCCATCATTATGCAGGGTCTATCCCATCTCTTTGCCATTAAACAGCTGAACTAAATTTGAAAAATGGTCCAGTATTTGACATCCACACAAGCCCAGTGTTCTTATGTCCTTAACATTTCCCTTTTCACATAGGCCTCCTGTGAAGCTCTCTCCCTTACTTTGATACCCTTCCCCACTTTCTGAACCATTCAGTGCTTTAGATTCTGCTGACTTTGCCTGCATGCTCATTGTTTCAAACTTTTTTGTGCTTCCACCAAACTGGCTGATTGTATTTGACATCTTGACATTCTCTGTATCCTCTTACTAAACTTTCTTCAGGGAGGGACTTCCCATCACCCACTGTCCCATGTTCTTCAGTTCTTTTCCAGCTCCTCCACTATTCTGGGCTGAGCCCTGCTTTCAGGACACCAGCCCACTCTGGAACACAGGATTTCTTTGGTAGAAAATAAAGTCTCCAAATTATATCATACTCTTCACAATTCACTTTAACTGATCATGGTCTACAACTTAGGCTGTTTAGCTTTGTCTTCTAGCCATCTCTCCCATCAACCCTCAGTCTGTCCTCAGACAGCCTTTCTTAATAGACTCATTTCTGGTCTCATACACAACAGCTGGT
The DNA here is from genome assembly GCF_000001405.40 of Homo sapiens. Lineage (NCBI taxonomy): Eukaryota > Metazoa > Chordata > Mammalia > Primates > Hominidae > Homo > Homo sapiens. The sequence goes on from NC_000008.11 coordinate 136,573,193, forward strand.
TCTCAGGCAGAATTCTTCATGTTGTCCCTTCCTCTCTCAAATATGACTCACATATGCTCCTGGATTTGGTGTACCACTTCCAGTCACAAAGAAAAAAATCCTCTTCTATCTAGTATATATCCATCTGCTATAGTTTTTCAGCCTTATGATTAATTAGTGGTGTGTCAAGCCTTGAACTTTTTATTGCTCCATTTTATTTCTTTTCAACTTATTATTGACCATCTTTGTACATATTGTGGAACACATAAACCCACAAAAGAGGCCTGACTGGCTCACAGACAACAGAGGAAAATGCAGTACAATGCCAGCATAAGATTAACTAATGAATTACGTGACTTCAAGAGCAAGGATACTTTCAAAGGTGTGTGGAGAGATAAAAAATGGAGACCCATTCAATCTCTGTATTTTTCTTTAGGCAAGTCAAAGCTTTGGTGTTTTTTTTTGTTTATCTCTTTTTTGTTGTTGTTGTTTGTTTGTTTTGTCTGACCTTCTTACATGGGAGGGGAGAGGCCAGATGGTGCCAGATGGGGTTGTAACAGTGTTACACAAAACCCAGCCTCTGGGGACACCCCCACACATATCCCACATCATGAGACAGCCACCAGACTTTTTTCAAAGGGTCCATCCCATTCTCCACTTGAGTGCCACAGCTGAAAGGGATTAGTGACATCTTAGGGAAGAGGAATTTTGGATTGTGAAGGGTGTTTTTTTGCTCCACTTTTTTATTTCCCCCTTCACTAGTTAAATCTAAGGGACACTTAAACTTAGAGCCTGCTATTATTTTTCCTTGACCACTGTGTGACCTTCATTTCCTGGAGCTGATTCAGATGAAGAATTCTAGAACAGCATTAGAGTTTGTTGATCTTTTACCCTCTCCTGCCTCATTACAAATGCTGTGAAATTTATCTTGGGTTATCTTTTTCCAATGTATAAAGCCTTTGGTATCAATCAAACTGGACAGCTCGAGGATGATGCAGAGTGCTGGCATGATTCACTGTGAGAAACACCCTGAGAAGCTTCCCCTTTGGCTCTTCCCACATCAGCCGTGACCCTCAACCCAACTCAGAACGGAGAGGAAGCAATCAGGCATTCCCTAAATGTCTTCAGGCCTTGTCTGATTCTTGATGATGGTGAAAGAAGGATAGACTTGAAACTACAGCAGTTCCAATACAAACCAGGCACAAAGGAAAGGTTCCTTTCATCCAAGAGCGATATTACGGCAGGACTGCTCTTGCCTTAGTGACACTGATACACTCTCATCTCCTTCCTCAATCTCCAAGAAAAGCACATACAGCAAAGCAGGATCAAGAGAGATAAACAGTTTTAATATAGTTTTTCAGTAGTATATGGTTGCATGTGTTTAAGGTGAAAAAATTGCAAACGTGGCCCACCTCTTCACACCTCCACACTGGAAGGCAATCTTGCAAAGAATGGTGATGGACAGCCATTTTGTTCTGCACTTTCAAATACGTTGCTTGAGGTCCAAAGTACTTAAAATGACTTGCCTAAAGCCACACAGAGAATTAGCGCAAAGAAACAGTGTCACATCATCAAAGAGAAGGAGGGCTTTGATGTTCAACCAAACAAAGTGTCTGATCCTGGTGCTGTGCCCAATGCAAGCGATTATAAGCACACTTTATAACTCTCTCAGTTCCAACTCATTCTTTTCTTAAAGTAGAGATGTAAATACCTATTTCACTGGGTAATCATGAGAATTTTTTAAAAATGAGAATTAAAAACATAAAAGATCCAGTGTTGTTATAGCCATTCCTGGCACATAGTAGCTTTTATGTTAATTGTCAAATGTTCACATTCCGTCAGTCAATGGTTTCTTACAGCACAATCACCATGGTCTCTGAAATACTTACCCTAGCTGCTCTGCCCCAGCTCTGGGTGCTCTGGTGCAGCCAGGATACAGTGAAAGAGTCACCTCTTCCCTGCTTTGACAGGGATGCAAGGGCCTCCTTTTATTTTTACAGATGTCCTTGGCATCAGAAGGGGGCAAGCTGCACAGAGTCATTCTCAGAAAGTGCCTTGAGGGATGAGGAAGGTACTGTTGCATCATCCCAGAATCACTCATACTCCTGAAGTGACTGTGGTTGGTGAGGGCACTTATGCTATCAGCAACATGGGTTTTTCAGCCAACATAAACCTGTGCTCAGATGCACATGAAACCCCCATTTCCTTAAAGAGAGAACACCAATCCATTGTATTTCTTTTTTTTTTTTTTTTTTTTTTTTTGAGACGGAGTCTCGCTCTGTCGCCCAGGCTGGAGTGCAGTGGCGGGATCTCGGCTCACTGCAAGCTCCGCCTCCCGGGTTCACGCCATTCTCCTGCCTCAGCCTCCCAAGTAGCTGGGACTACAGGCGCCCGCCACTACGCCCGGCTAATTTTTTTGTATTTTTAGTAGAGACGGGGTTTCACCATTTTAGCCGGGATGGTCTCGATCTCCTGACCTCGTGATCCGCCCGCCTCGGCCTCCCAAAGTGCTGGGATTACAGGCGTGAGCCACCGCGCCCGGCCCAATCCATTGTATTTCTAAGCATCTGAGTGACACCCCTCTTCTGGGCCCTCCTGCCAACCCACCACAAAGCACCTGCCAGCAGGCATTCACACGCTTTGGGCACACATTCAGTTCTGACACCTGACACCCCTTGCATCCATCTCTCCCAACTTTTTCCTCCTCCCCAATTGTATTAGTCTGTTTTGACACTCTTATAAGGACTTACCTGAAACTGGGTAATTTATACAGAAAAAGAGGTTTAATGGACTCACAGTTTCACATGGCTAGGGAGGCCTCACAATCACGGAAGAAGGTGAAGGAGGAGCAAAAACATTTCTTACATGGAGGCAGGCAAGAGAGCATGTGCAAGGGAACTGCCCTTTATAAAACCTTCAGATCTAGTGGGACTTATTCACTATCATGAGAACAGCACAGAAAAAAACCCACCCCCATGATTCAATTACCTCCCACTAAGTTCCTTCCATGACACTGAGGATTATGGGAGCTACAATTCAAGATGAGATTTGGGTGGGGACACAGCCAAACCATACCACCAATATCTCAAACTTTAGAAACAAACCCCATTATCCTACCTTAAAAAATCTTATTTTCTTCTTTTCTTTCATAGCCCTGATACCTGATTCCAGGCATCACTCAGAAAAAGTCCTGTTTATGTGCAAAAACTGAAATATAAACCTTGTCAAACACAAAGGCTGTTTTTCTTCCCTATTTTCATAGTCAGAAAGTATTTTTCTTCAGAAATGCAATGGCCAGGTATCCACTCCCAATTAAAAAATGTGTGTCATCTAGTCCAGACAAGATTCAAATACCTCCCTGCAAGAGCAAAAACAAGAAAGTTGAGTTTCTATTTTAAAAGAAGATTGAAAGTCTGATTCCCATTGAAAATCCAAATTGAGTTTCAGAAGCAATGGAAATTAATAAACACTTAATGGAATTAAAATGACTTGAAACAGAAGCAATAGCTACACAAAAGGAGAGTGAGTGATTCTCTGTGTAATTTTGAGCATTACAAAGAAATAGCAGTGAGTTCTCAGCTAGACTCTCACATGTTTCATATCTAGTTGTTAATCGGTTTGGAACTGATGAGCATTTCCTTGCAAAAGCTTAGCCTGTAGAAGGCACCTTCTGTCAAGCCTTATTTCCAGTCTCTGCTGATACACGAGATCTTTCACCAACAATATCAGAAATAGCTAGTAAGCATCGCCACACCTTGGTAAGGGTATAGCAAGATACAGATGAAAACTTACTAAATTTAACACTGACTGGAAGTGGTTTAAAATCCTGGCTTGACTACGTATTGATTTTATGATCCTTGGAAGTTAAGTTGGGGAAATAAATATATTTTCAAATTTACATATAGGTAAACTGAGACAGAATTTCACTTAGACTCTTTCTGACAGTTTGCCCACACATAAATTGAAGAATATAATTACTATCTCACCATTTGTGTGTCTAGGGATATGTGTAAGTAAAGACCAAATCCAACTTGAGTCATAAAGCACTATTGTACAGACACACACAGACACACACACACACACACACATAATTTCCACTATGACATTGATCAAGAATGGTACCATGCCAAAGCATAAACTATCTAGGTGTTCATTTATCTTAACTTTATATTAAACTATGTGACCAGTTCCATTTATTGATTGTGTCTTGTTTTACATGTGTTGAATTGGTTTATTAACATTTGTCCTCATTTTGCTGTTACTCTGGAATTTCATATCCTGCAATGTATTTTTCAAACATCAAGTCATTTGGCCTAAATATTTTTTACCTAACAAACTTTTGATCTCTGTCCATTCAGTGCAAGGTACTAGTACCTTCGTATAGTCTTTAAGAGCATGGACTTCATACCAATATACGTTTAAATTCATTTCTAACACTTAGCAGTTGTGTGAACTCAGGCATGGCTAATGGCCCTATACCTCAATTCCTACATAATTTTAAATGAGGCTGGCATCTATCATCTGCTCAATGAAGATTAAGCAGATTAACATATGCATATGTATGTGTGTATATACATGTATATGTGTGTGTGCGTGTGTTTCAAAGTTTGAAATATAAAAGATAGAGCACTTGCAACCTGAAGCATCCTAATGCACATGGCCATAAAGTATGGAGTACAAGATAGTAATACAAGTTACGAAGGTGAAATTACTACAACTAATGTACTAATTGTAAATATGTTTTGTTTAATTTTTTTCTAGTAACTCAAAATCACAGCACAGCATGGTGATATGCTGCATTAAATAAGAACACAGTGTGTCCTCCATCCCTCAAAACATATTCTAAACCAGCTCTTTTCCCTCCATAAAGCAGTTCACCATATGCACATTCATGTCTGAAAGATTGGCAAAGGAAAAACTAGCTATGCGTTCAAAGCCATCCAATTCCCCCGCCTGATCTGGAAATGTAAGTGAAAGGACAGTGACAGATCTCTGAGATAATAGCAGCCGGCGGGATCATGGAGGTGAAGAATCTGTTATCTGATGTAAACTGCTATTCCATGTGAGGTGAATGAACTCTTTAAGGGGTGCCACTTAGTTCATGGGCAAAGATAATTTACTGAACACTACCCAGTCCCAGAGGCTGCTGAATTCGTTCAATTCGACTAAACAGACTGTTCTGATGTACTTGTTTATTCCTTCTTGTTCATCCAAGGCTGTGTCTAACTCATTAGTAAGAAATGACACCGTGTTAGCCAGGATGGTCTCGATCTCCTGACCTCGTGATCTGCCTGCCTCAGCCTCCCAAAGCACTCTACTAAAAATATAAAAAATTAGCCAGGCGTAGTGGCAGGTGCCTGTGGTCCCAGCTACTCGGGAGGCTGAGGCAGGAGAATGGCGTGAACCCGGGAAGCGGAGCTTGCAGTGAGCCGAGATCGCGCCACTGCATTCCAGCCTGGGCGACAGAGCGAGACTCTGTCTCAAAAAAAAAAAAAAAAAAAAAAAAGAGAGAAATTACAAAGGATTCATTCACACTCTGTACATTGTATAACTCTGATAATGACCGCTGCACATTTCCAGTGCATACGTTTTTGTTTGGGGGAAGTTGTTTCTGCTTTGCTTTGTTTTCAGATGGAGCAAATGTCTTGCTGGCAGTGTGAGAAGGTCACAGTCATTGGAACCCCTCAGACTCAGATTTTCACCTGCTTAGCCACTCACTTTCTGTGTGACTTCAAGAAAATATCTTCCTGATCTCAGAAAATGAAAGGCTTGTCACGCAATATGTGATCCCAGTTGGTAAAGGAAATTATTGATAAGGTTACCTTCATCAAATTAAGAGCTAATGTGCATCAAAATATAATCTTAAGAACAACCACTGTTATACAGATACATACTTGTCTAGCACAAACCAATTAGAAAACAACAGATAATGTGCTAGAAAAGGACACACTTCACAAGGTGGAAAATACGAATGACAGATAAACTTATGAGAAAGTGGTCAACTTTATTAACAATCAGGAAAGTACAATTAGATAGCACTACCTACTCAGTAGCTGTTGAAAATGAATAATGAATGAATGAGTAAATGCATTGGTGCCAAAAGTTGTAGAGATGTGGAGTAATAATACACTGCTCAGACTATATGGATAGAAGGTAAATTTTGTATAAATATTTTAGAAAAAAGGTGGCATAATCTACTAAATCTGTGGAAACTTATATCCTGTGGCTGTGCCATTCCAGAACTTCTTCATAATCAATAGAAAAAGTACATATTCGTCCAAGGAGACGTGCTAAAACTGTTCATATTATGACTCTTCATATTAGCACAAAACTGGAAACAACCCAGGTATCCATAAGTACTAAAAATGTGGTGTAATCAAACAGGGGAATAGTAACTAACAGTTAGAATATGAATCACAGCACTTTCAAGCAACTTGGATGAATTTCATTAGCATCATGTCGAGTCAAAGAAACAAAATAAGGCAAACTGAAGACTCAGAGTGTGCGATTGGGTAGGTCATGAGGAGGACTCTTGAATGATTGTTAATATATATCTGGACTGGAACGGTTACATTAGTTCTCAAGGTGTAAAAATGTGTTAAGTTGGCTATTTACATTATAGGCACTTTTGAAATGTGTTTTTTCTTTTTTTACGAGAACGAGATTTAAGTTTAAAAAAGTAATTTCAGTGTGCTCAATATTGTTCATCTATACCATTATTTAATAAATATTTAAAGCTGAGTGTGGTTTCTCATACCTGTAACCCCAGCACTTTGAGAGGCCAAGGTGGGAGGATTACTTGAGCCCAGGAATTCAAGACCAGCTTGGGCAACATAGTGAGACTTGTCTGTGCAAATAAATAAATCAATAAAATAAGTAAAAAAATTAGCAGGGTGTGGTGGTACATGCTTGTAGTCCCAGCTACTTGGGAGGCTGAGGCAGGAAGATTGCTTGAGCCCAGGAGGTCGAGGCTGCAGTGAGCCATGAGCACAACCATTGCATTCTACCTTGGGCAACAGAGAGAGACCCTGTCTCAAAAATACACGAAAAATTTAAAATAAAAAAAGCGTAAGGTAGAAATACTGGCACTGGAATTAATGAAGGGCAACTTTTACTTTTATGAGTTTTGTTATATTTTAATATTGCCCTCTCTGTTGATGTATGCACCTATGTCCATCCTTAATACCATGGTCAAAAATCGAGAAGTTAGCATCTTTTGTGTTCTGAGAGCGCCACTCACTTCTCACCATCCAGTTATTATTAGTGGAAATGGAGAAGTGGCCCTAGAACTTCTAGTCACTCTAGCATGGACCCTATCACCACATCCTCTAATACTGACAACCTCACTACATCTGCTTGACTTTTGAACCATCAGAACTAAACACAAAGTTTTCATCACCTGTTTTCATGAATCAGTAAAATAAACCAAAGACGCCCAGGTCAAAACTCAGAATCTAATTCTTATATATTGTAAATTCAGTGAGGCCAACCTTGGTACTCCCGTTCTTCTCTAATTATTTTCTAAAGCATGTATCACAATAAAATTCAGTATATAGTTTATTAATTTGTCTTGCACAATTATAATGTCTTAGGAGATCAGGGACTTATTTTTTCTGTGTTTGTGTTTCATTTTTCTTTGATATGAGCATAGCATTTAATAGACATTCAATAAATATTTGTTGAATTAATTAAATACAAAGAAATAAAAAGCTGCTATAGCTATGTTGACACTAAGGAAATAGAATGCAAGACAAAAATCATTACTAGATCTTAAGAGGATCAGCAAAGAATTTTGAAAAATCTATTAAACACACTTGAAACATAAAAAAAATCAGTATTAATGTATGGCATGATATAACCTCAAATTATATGAAACAAAGCTTGATATAAGTAAAAGAAGACTTTAACAAATCCAAAATTATGCGAAAAGCTCTAACACTCTCTTCTCAATCACAGATCAAGAAGGCAAAAATAATATAGAAGCTTAGAACAAAATTAATAGGATTGATTTAATTAACATTGCCTAATTTAGCAAAGAAAAAACAAAGCAGGATGTTTACTTAATTTTGTATTTAGTTAAATATTTTGGGCTGTATTAGTACTAAAAATATTTATTCAAAATTCAAATTTAACAGGGCATTATATATTTTATCTGAAAAACATGATATCTAATGGACATATATGAAACATCTAGCATTTGCCTGATATATGTTATTTTCAGTACATATAAATCATTTTCAAAATATGGGCACATAGTAGCCATAGAGCTCACCTCATCTCAAAAATGTAAAATGATTGGCATCTTACAGAATATATTTGCTGAGCACATGTAACTTTGACAAAAATTTGTAACAAAAATGAAGTTTAAAATGCACCTATAAATCACAAATACATCAGGAATTATTTATAATATAAATTGAAAAATATTGATCATATCATATTTAAAAACTCCATGTTGGAACTAAAGCAGTATTTTAATAAAAAAGTTTTAGTGAGTCCTACAGGCTCACTGTAGTTTTAGTATTTTTATTACAGGATACAGTTTGAAATTAATGACCTATGCATCTGATTTAAGGAATTTATGTAAAGAAGAGAATAAACTCAGCATAAGAAGGTAGAATAAAATAATGTGCATGAAAACCAAACCAAAATTAATAAAATATAAATCTAACAAAAATTTGAAACAATATACAAAACCAAATTTGTTTCTTATGAAAAACAAATGTGTTAAAAATTTGATTAATATATAAAAGGTGAAATATCAATATTAGGATTTTAAAACTAGATAGAAATGCAGCTACTACAAACATGATAGATTTAATAAGAGGATGTTTTAAAAATATAATAATTTGAAAAAATTTTCACAGAATCAACTGTCTAGAAAAGTGAAACTCAGTAAAATTGATTCAAGAAGAAATAAAAATGTGAATAGTCCTATAAAAATAAAAACAGACAGTAGTTTAAAATATGCTCATAAAAATAATAATGTAGAGAGCTTTACTGTTACATATTACCTTCATAAAACAAAAAATCCAATTTATATAAATAATTCTAGAGAATTATTGAAAATGAAAATGGCAATAACACTCTATTTTGATTTATACGGTTAACATATCACGTTTTAGTCAAAATCTGATAAAGCCTTTAAGAATAATGAAAACTGTACACTAATCTCCTCATGAATCCAAAACCCCCACTAAGTTTTATTTACCAGCTGAGTCTAGCAACAAATAAAAAGCACAATACATTGTGACTAATTTCAGTTTATCTCAGGTCAAGGAAAGTTTGATACCAAAAATATTAACAATGTTATTTAGCATATGTATTAGTCTATGTAACTGTAAACACAGGAATAAATCAATAAACAAATAAAGAAAACACATAATAGTTCAAATAATACAAAATTTATTTATGTTTAACAGTGCAAGGTGTATATTCTATTTTAGAAAGCACAATTATTTCTCCATACAGCCTAATTTTTATTATTATAATTATAATCCATAGGGGATTATAATTATCATAGCTTGAAAATAATCTAGTTTAGATTAATTATAAATTAAATTCAACAGTATTAAAAAGTTGAACCAATAAAATTTTATTGCCTTTCAAGTTATGTTATTTTCAAGCAAATTGCAGTTTGTATATTTTAATACCACCAACATAATTTTATAATTATTGCTCTCTGCAGTGTATCTTAAAATCAGAGAGAAGACTTAAAAAATACATTATAATGTCCTCCATATATACCTATGTAGTTACCTTTATTGAGAGTGTTAATTGCTGTTCTTTATTCCTTTATATGGATTTGAGTTACAAACCAGTGTCCTTCCATTTCAGCCTGTAGGATCACGTTAGTATTTCTTGAACGTCGGGTATGTTAGAAATGAGACCTAATTAAACTAAAGAGCTTCTGTATAGCAAAAGAAATTATCAAAAGAATAAACAGACAAACTGCAGAATAGGAGAAAATATTTGTGATCTATGCATCTGATAAAGGTCTAATATCCAGAATCCATAAGGAACATGAGCAAATTTACAAGCAAAACACTAGTAACCCCATTACAAAGTGGTCAAAGTACATGAACAGATGCTTTTCTTTTTTTTTAATACGTTTATTTTAAGTTGAGCCATACATGTGCAGGTTTGCTACACTGGTAAATGTGGGTTATGGGGGTTTGTTGAACATATTATTTCATCACTCAGTTATTAAGCTTAGCATACATTAGTTATTTTTTCTGATCCTCTCCCTCTTCCCACCCTCTGCCTTCTGATAGGCCCCAGTGTGTGTTGTTCCCCTCTATATGCTCATGTGTTCTCATCACTTAGCTCCCACTTATAAGTGAGAATATGCAATATTTGCTTTTCTGTTCCCTCATTAGTTTGCTAAGAATCAGACACTTTTCAAAAGAAGACATATGTGGCCAAAAAGCACATGAAAAAAAATGCTCAACATCACTAATCATTAGAGAAATACAAATCAAAACCACAATGAAATACCATCTCACACCAGTCAGAATGACTATTATTAAAAAGTCAAAATATAATAGATAGTGGCGAGGCTGTAAGCACTCTATGTTTGCTGAGGCACTTCTTTAATGCTCAGTCAGGTTAAACTCATCCTTGGCTTTCACACCTTGCTTGTGGGTAGTGTCAAAATCAGACACAGGTGAGAAAATAGAGCTTTCTCAGGCCTTTCCTGAACAAGTATGCGTCCCTGCACATGTGCTTAGTCTTCTAGATTCCAGGAATATGCCAAAGCTTTTCAGATCTCCCTGGATATCTCATTACACAGGTTTTCTTTTCAAATGTTTGTTCAATCACTTGTTTTTTGCTGATTCGTTTTACTGTTCTAAACAGTGAGGGTGTTAAATAATTGCCTGGAATCATTTTTAACAAACACCTGGGGAGGGCATTTTTACTGAGTAAGGTCTGACTATGGTCAAATAAGGCAAGTCTCAAATAAGTTTTTTCAGGGAGTTACTCTAGGTAAAAGAGTGAAAATTCTTTGGATTGGGACTTCTGGGAGGGCCAAGACACCCTATACCCACCGAGAACCTTCTTGGCTGCTTGTTGCCACAGCTGCCATGATTGTGAGGCTACTGGTAATCAATGCCACTTGGAGCTCTAGAGAGGCATATAAGGCAATAAGGAAATATTAAATGCCACAAAGCTCACTGTTCCAATAGGGATTCAGCTAATTTTCTTGAATCAGCGCTTCTCAGAGAGTTCTAAGTCTTTGATTAGTTTTCAGAGTTCTGAAAAAGTGGATTTTGTCAATTTTGCCAGTTTTCTCATTGCTCTTTTGAGGAGTAAATTTTTAGAGTTTCTTACTTTACCATTTTGGAAGTATTTTTTCATATCATCTTTCAGGGACTAGACCTGTGGGAGGCTCTGCTACCTTTGCTTTGAATATGTCACAGACCGGAAATGAGAAAGATCTTGGAGGAGAAAACACAAGTGATTTCTAGTGGCTAAGTCTGACAGTGATATGGTTTATTGCTATTCACATTCTGTTAGCCAAAACCCAACCATCTGGCCATTTCCAACTGACAGAAAAACAGAAGTGGAGTTTAGCTGTGTGTGAATGATGGAGTTAGTATTTTCTTATGTGGATGGGGGTCTCCCTAATACCACCTTTACACACTAGCTGAGAAAAATAATATGATTATCTCAATAGATACAATGAAAGTATTTGATAAAATTCAACAGCCATTGATTAAAAAAAGAAGTAAAACAAAATTCTGGCTATTACAGGAATAGAATGAAACTTCATTAACCTTATGAAAAATATTCACAAAAATAGATACACAAACATATTTAGTAGTACACACTCCCTTTAAGATTAGAAAAAAGCATGAAGCTTTGCAGTATCTATACCCATCATTGTATTGGATATCCTAGCAAGTTTTATGGGGAAATAAAAAGAAAAGTAACATATACAAAATTTTCAAAACTTCTCATTTCTAAGTGATAATATGGGTGCTTAAAATAATATAATCTATAGGTATACAATTCGAATTAAAAGAGATTATTAACTCAGGTGAAATATTAAATAAAAAAATTAATCACATCTCATCAGCAAAAATGCTTTAAAATTTAACTTAGAATGATACTTTTAAAGTGACATTAAAATATATGCACACAATTTAGAAATAAATCTCATGAAAGTTTTGTTTATCAGGAAAATTATAAAACAGTTTAAAAGATATCAGTAAAGACATTAATACACATAGACAATAATAAAATTCCATAATTAAAAAGTTAAATATTTAAAGCTATCAATTTTTCCCAAATAAAACCACAATTTAAAAAAAATCAACAAATTTCAACAGATTTTTGTTTTTTAGAAATTGTCAAGGTGACTATAAAATACAGAAATAAAAAGAGTCAAGAATAATAAATACATATTTTGTAGCAAATAAAGAATATGAGAGATTTTCCTTTTCCAATAATAAATATTATTGTGAACCTAGCTGAGTTATGACACTAAGTTTTTGACATAAAATGAAGAATAAGATTCATAGAACAAAATAAATGCAGAAGTCAAGTTTCCTAATTGTTTGCAAAGTCCACTCATAAAATCACTGACATTTCCAACCTAGTGGGAGAAAGAATATTTGTATGAATGGTTCTGGGTAAGTTGGTATTCCATATTAAAATCAAATGAAATCAGAGCCCTACTTCACATGGTGCAAAATGATTTGTTTTAGACTTAATGGCCTGAAAGTGAAGAGTGAAATTATCTAACTTGTAAAAAGTAATATGGAAACTATTTTTTACCTTAAAAATTGTTTTGACCTCACTCTAGGAGGAAACTTTTTTTTTTTTTTTTTTTTTTGACGGAATATTGCTCTGTCGCCCAGGCTGGAGTACAGTAGCATGATCTGGGCTCCCTACAACTTCCGCCTCCCAGGTTCAAGTGATTCTCCCCACTCAGCCGCCTCAGTATCTGGGATTACAGGCACTCACCAACACACCCGGCTAATTTTTGTATTTTTAGTAGAGATAGGGTTTCGCCATGTTGGCCAGGCTGGTCTCGAACTCCTGACCTCAAGTGATCTGCCCGCCTCAGCCTCCCAAAGTGTTGGAATTACAGGAGTGAGCCACTGCGCCTAGCCGGGAGAAAGTTTTTAAGTGAAGATCCAAGATATTCCAAAAGCAAAGCAGCATATTAGTAATTTTCATGGCAATAAATATGATACACTAGCTCATCAAAATATATAAAGAGGGAGAAAACATAAGTGCACACTATGAGAGGTTGGTGTTTCAACTGTAACACAAAAAATGTCTATACCTAAAATGTATAAATAATGGCTTCAATTCCACAAAATGTCAACCACGCAGACAAATGTTCTAAGTGGCTACCAAAATGTGTGAAAAGGGGGCCATCCTTAGTTGTGCTCGGGGAAATGATTAATGAAAAATCACGTCAAAGCTGTCAGATTGGTAAAACTAGAAAGCATAGCACCTGACAGTATTATATTTTGACTGAGATGCAATATCCTAAGCACTGCTGATTAGAGTGTAAATTGTTCAATAACGTCTGAAAACAGTTGCCTTTATATGGTAACATCAGAGTTATACATACCAGGTGAGTGTTTTGGCCTAAGAGAGAGGCATATATACAGGAAAGTACAGTGAGTGCTGAGCAGGTTCCTGCAGATGTCTCATGCTGATTCTTCAGAAAATCCCAGAAGCAAGAAATGAGAGATCTGTGATGCCCCTTTAAGGTGACATGTTGTCAACACAAAGCAGATTAACTTGTGGGCCATTTTTTTCTTTCTTTCTCTTTCTTTCTTTCTTTCTTTCTTTCTTTCTTTCTTTCTTTCTTTCTTTCTTTCTTTCTTTCTCGTTCTTTCATTCTTTCTCTCTCTCTTTCTCTCCTTCTTTCTCTCTCTCTCTCTTTCTTTCTTTCCTTCTTTCTTTCGAGACGGAGTCTCACTCTGTTGCCCAGGCTGGAGTGCAGTGACGTGATCTTGGCTTGCTGCAACCTCCGCCTCCCGGGTTCCAGAGATCCTCCTGCCTCAGCCTCCCAACTAGCTGGGACTACAGGTGCCCGCCACCACTCCCAGCTAATTTTTTGTATTTTTAGTAGAGACGGGGGTTTCACTGTGTTATCCAGGATGGTCTCGATCTCCTGACCTCATGATCCACCCACCTCGGCCTCCCAAAGTGCTGGGATTACAGGTGTGAACCACCGTGCCCGGCCCTGTGGGCCATTTCTAGAGCCAGAGGTGACAGCAAGAGTTTGTGCAGTATTGAACAAGGTTTCCAATATACTTGTCACTCCATGCTTCCTCTTCTATGGCTATGACTCTAGAGAAACTCTTGCACAAATACACCAAGAGCCTTGCACTTCTGAGTACAGCTAAAAGCAGTGTAGTTCTCAGTAGTACATGCAAATGAAAAGCATGGATAGATATTGGGATCATAAGGTCAAGCAAAGAAAAAGAAGCATGTTGTAAAATAACAGATAGAATATTCTACCATTTATGGAGATTTTAAAAACATTAGTTATTTATGAATACAAAGCAAGAGAATCATAAATGCAAATATCAAGACAGTGGTTATTTTTGAAGGGAGGCAATTAGTAATTTAATTTCAAAAAGGCATAAATAGAACTTTAAAGTCAACAGTTATATTTTTAACTGGATGGCTTGTTTTACAATGATTTTTATAACTTTAATGCATTTTATATATTTACCATGGTATCTCCTTCTTATTTATAAATATATAATTAAAAGCAAAAGAAGGAGAAAGAAGTAGTAAGAAAAAAATCAAGTATCAAGTTGCCCTTATACTTGTTATATTGCCCTATTTATCTATTTTTCTTTGTTGACCCTCTGTGAATCTTAATTCATTTATTTCTCTAAACTATCTTTAATTTATTTTTATCACTTTATGCCATTACAATGTAATATCTTTTATTTCTGATTTTAGAGATTACAGAAGAATTTAGGTAGATTAGCTAGTCTTTGGTTGCAAAATAATGATATAGGGAATCAATCTGACCATTAATACACTTTGTTTAGCCCATAAAGTGTTTAAAAATGAAGTGGGGTGTTATCAGAATAAACATATATCCTTTAGTTAGCTGTGAACCCACACCCTATTGTCTTGGGCCAGTCGGCTTTGCTCATTTACTTTTCTCTGATAATGGTTGGTTATGTATATTTGTGTATACACATTGTAACCCTACTTTATACAAACATGAAGGTTAGGAGGCAGTAGTTCAGTGCCATGAAAAGAGAAGGTTCCTCACCTCAAAGTAAAAAAAGAGGTTTCTTTAAGTCTGCTATACCCTTCTCCTCCATATGATTCTGGCTCATACTGTACATAGTCTTTAGTAGATACTACTTCTGGTTTTTTTTTTTTTGTTTTTTTTTGAGACGGAGTCTCGCGCTGTCGCCCAGGCTGGAGTGCAGTGGTGCCATCTCGGCTCACTGCAAGCTCCGCCTCCGGGTTCACGCCATTCTCCTGCCTCAGCCTCCTGAGTAGCTGGGACTACAGGTGCCTACCACCACGCCCTGCTACTTTTTTGTATTTTTTAGTAGAGACCGGGTTTCACCGTGTTAGCCAGGATGGTCTCAATCTCCTGACCTCGTGATCTGCCCACCTCGGCCTCCCAAAGTGCTGGGATTACAGGTGTGAGCCACCGCGCCCGGCCTAGATACTACTTCTTACCTACATCTTCTAACAAGAGGATTCTAAGAGTTAAGTATGCTTTGTAATTCTTCTTGAGGCCAGTGACGTTGTGCATGGGAGTTCGAAGGGAAGAGGTAAACAGAGCAAGTAAAGGCAGCAGGAATGTGCAGCAGAAATTACAGATTCAGAGAATGTGAATAAAGGCATTGAGCTGCCTCTGTGGAATAAGCAATGAGGCATGAGTTGATGTAGTTTATGTGCATTCACATCTTTTAGGGTTGGCAGGACCACTTGCAATTACGTTACAGAATTCGTAATGAAAGTCAGGGCAAGGCTTGCTTGTGAACAATTTGTTGAATATTAGTCACATTTGGACAATATCCTATGAGGAAATCACATATTGGCCTGATACTTGTCATTGAAGAGGGGAACTGACAGCTCCTTCTAACTTCACATTACGACAGCTCAAATGGTTTTATTAAAGACACAGAGAAAGAAATACAGTATCAGTATTCAGTTCATGTTAGATAATCATGACCTGGGAACCTACCATCTATCAACTTGCACTAGAACTTCTATTAGGTATAAGCAAGGTTCAGCTCCTGCCTTCAAAGAACACACATTGAAATGAGTCTGACAAATGCTTACTCACAGTTGTACTTATGTGAGAAGAGTACTAATAGAGATTGATAAAATATTGCATCAGGATTCCAGAGAATTCAACCATTTTAGTCTGGAAGCTGATTTAAGTTAATTGTGGAAACTGTCAGTGTGGAGAGAGAAAAGAAATAAGTAAGGAGAGGAGAGGAAAGGAAAGGAGAGAAAGGAGAGGGGAGGAGAAGAGAGAAAGACTCTTGCTAGCAAAATAAATAAAAGGTGCAGATATAGAATAATAAATACAGGTGGTAAGTTTGGGAACCAAAGAATGTAAGCATATTTGAGTGTATGCATGAGGGACATGAAAGAAAGGAGGGGGATCTTTCATGTTTAAAGCATGGAGGAGGAAACACTGGGACATTTTAACGTGATATAGGTGAAATTTTCCTTTGTGAACATTTAACATTAGTTTACCACCTTTAAATGTTGTGTTTAATCTAAATTTGGCTGGGAATTGCAAGCCTTTTTAAAGCTTTAATTTAAAAATTAAAAAATTTCAGTCTGCAAGGCACAAAGCCTGCAAGTTTAAAACATTTCAACTTTGAAAATATTTTGATCAGATTCTAATGAATGGATTGTAGCACTACACCTGTTGGTAGACTACATGAACTACAGACTGTGCAATTTTATAAAGAACCAGATAAACAGTTCAAAAGTTTTGTAATTTATTTGCATAGTGTTTTGTAATCATCTCTAAAAGCCTATCAACAAATTTCTTTCTACTGAAGCAGTGAGATCAAACTATGGAAGACTTTACAATATTTTCATTGTTTCCCATTCCCCGATGCGCTGTATCTTTCATTGATGTTTTTTACCCTACAATGAACAAAATGCCAAATTTCAAAGCTAAATTTAAATTATGGATCCCTTCCATAGCAACTGTGTAGCCAAGATAAGTCACTTAACTTTATTGAGACTCAGTTTTCATATCCATGAGAATGATGATGATACCTGCCTTATATAATTTCCAAGGTATACAAGAAATTAAAATTAGGTCAACATTAGAGAAAAGTGCCTTTAATGACCATAGAAGTAAATGTGAGTGTAGGTTACAGTTATCATTAATGTTATCATTAATGTTGTCATTTTCATGCTCTTTCCCTCTTACTTGGCTTTTTTTTTTGGATGCCTGGTAAATAAATCATGCTTAGAGTTAATAAATATTTGTGCCTCACAGAATACCCTTCCCTATGTGTGCATTATAACGTGTATCTTGAGTGCTGATACGGTTTGGCTCTGTGTCTCCTCTGAAATCTCATCTCAAATTGTAATAATCCCCACATGTCAAGGGTAGGACCAGGTGGAGATAATTGAATCATGGGGGTGGTTCCTCCCATGCTGCGCTGTTCTCATGATAGTGAGTGAGATCTCATGAGATCTGATGGTTTTATAAGGTACTTCTCCCTTTGCTTGGCATTCATTCTCTCTCCTGCCACCCTGTGAAGAGGTGCCTTCCGTTATGATTATAAGTTTGCTGTAGCCTCCCAGCCGGGTAGAACTGAGTCAATTAAACCTCTTTTTTTTTTATTTTTTTAATAAATTACCCAGTCACGGGTATTTCTTCATAGCAGCATGAGAGCGGATAAATACAAGTGACCTCACAACTACCCTGATACATAAACAGATTAGGCATTGCGATAAATAATTTTAAGGGAGAAACAATGTAGTGTTTTGGTTTAGAGCATGGATTATGGAATCTAGCATCTTGTATTCAAATCCTAGCTTTTTCACTACTAATTATGTAACCTTGAAAAAGTTATTTAACCTCTCTTTGCATCAAGTACATCACTGTCAAAATGTGGTTAATGCTATGGTTAACAGTTCTATTTATTTTATTGGAATTTTATGGATTTAAAGATAATTAATACATGTAAAGTGCTTAGAACAGTGCCTGGCAAACAATAAATATTCAGTAAATATTAGCTATTAATTTGCTGTGATGATTATTTTGTCAAGGTCACTGCTGAGAAAATCAGATTCAGTAATTCTAGGTGAGGTTTTAAAATCTGCATTACAAACAAGTTTCTCTGCTGATCCTGGGGCAGGTGCCACAGGGCTTGCATTTTGAAAATTAGAATTAGCTAGCATAGCCTAATGGGCAGACTCTTTCCTGATTTAACATGAACTTCATTCATATAGTTGCATGCCAGCTATATGCCACATGCCATGCCCAAATCTGGGATATGTCTGTTACTACTTTTTCATTTGTGTCCATGTGTGCTTCCTCCTAGATGCAACCCAGTAGCTTATCTTAAGCTTTTCTGTGCTTAAGAGTTTTTTTTTCTTGTTTTTAAGAATCCTTACTCTCAATGTTAACTGAAGAAGGTGTAAAATGAACACCCTTTATCACTTGATTTTTATTGATGTTTCATTTTCCTCTAATTTGTTGTGCAAAGTGCTAGCTTCCTGCTTTCCCTATTAAGGCTAGAAATTCCTTCGGCTTGACCCTACAGTTGTCTCTCTAAACTGAGTGTGTATTCTATCCTGTCTCAATTTTCCTGGATCACTGGATTCTTTCCTGAATGACATTCTGCACATTATGGCAACAAGAGAGGTATTTTAAAATCCTTTGGATCTGAAGACTCACTTTCTGTTTGAAGTTTAAACTCAAAACAGATTCCCCATTGCATGGCATCATGGTACCCTCCTACCAAACACTGTAGGAGATATCCTGGAATGTCAGATCAGTGTAATTGATCAAGGATGAGGGTCATGTGGGTTGAGAATGACTATTTGTTTTAAGATGAGTTATTCCAGAAGTAAGTCCTGAGACAAGGGTTTCAGTGACAGAGAACTTAGAAATGTCTAGTAGAAAAGTGAAGAGTAAGACAGGGAGATGATAGCCATCAATACAGAGTATTTAGCAGGTTACTGCTTTAGAAAACACAGTCTCAATCACTCTGAAAACCTCTGGGAGATAGCATAAAATTTTCTCAGTGTGGTTTCCACTGAAGGAAAAGGAGGCTGGAGTATTTACACAGCAAATCCCCATTCTTGATGGGGATTTCTTCAGGAAGCTATTTCTTCAGGAGTCGTCTCCTTGCCATTCTACTTTAAACACTAAGTATGTTGTTATGACCCCCCCAAAAATCTGGAAAACAGTTGCAGGGGTTTGCCATAGGGATCCATTGGTGTGTATGGGAACACTGTATTGAAATATGAATGGACACATATGGTAGCTGTTGTACACATACATAGCACTGGGTTGGATACTTCTCAAAATAAAGAGTTGTTTACAGATATTTATTAATTGCATTTATAAATGTTTATGTGCAGCTATATACTTATTCCAGCTTATTCTGCTCTAGGCATTGACATCCATACAGGCAATCTGAAGGTGAGTGAGATGCAATATTGCCATAAAAAAATTAAAGTTTAACAGGGAAGATCATAAAGCAAACCTATAAATAACAGCAAAATTTCAGTGGGTGGAAAGAAACACACACACACACACACACACACACACACACACACCAGCAAGCAAGTCTTCTGCACTAACAAGGTGATCTTTGAACAGGGGTATTAAGTCTGAATAGCAGTTTTCCAAGTTAGACACAGAAAGGTGGAAAAGAACATAGCAGGCTGAAGATAGGATGCTCACAGGAGACGATGGGGGAAGTGTTCTGTTGTGTATTTGAAGGAGAAGGAAACGTTTAATCTGGTAGAAATATATAAAGCAGGGTTCGAAGTGGGGGTAGGGATCATGGATGGAAGAAACTTCAATCAATGTGGACAAAATTTATGTTGAGGCCACTTTAGTTAGGGTGCTTCTGTCCCAAGCAAAAGTCTTTATTGTTCTGTGGCTCTATAAATAGGTCAAGAAATAATTTTAAGTAGAAAAGAGCCATATTTAGACAAATCTCTTTGGCTGTAGGTGAATATTGGATGGGTAGAGGAGAGATTTGCGGGTGGGTCTCTGAGGCTGTTGTAACAATCCAAAGGAAAGATTCTGATGGTAATTCATTGATAATGGAGAGGAAAGAAAGTGTTTCCAAGACAGAGCTTAAGTAAAGTCGACATGTTTTGCTTGAATATTGGATATAACGAGTTGCATTCATTATAAAAGACTGCCTTATTACTAATCTACTTACTGTCTTCTGATAAACCTTTTTGCCGTCCGTTTACAAAACTTGTCTCTTTTCTCTCTCTCCTCGTATTCCTTTTTGTATTATTTCACAGAAAAGTTTGGCATGCACAGAAACTGAGCCCTTAAATATAAAGCTTCTTAAATAACACTTCCATTCATAGTCTTTTCATTCTAGGCAGAGCAAGTTCTAATTGCAGAAGAGCAGAATGGAAAATTGGGGTGTTCATTGGCCTTGTGTATATATATATAATATATAATAAATATATATAATATATAATTGTACATTTATTATATATGATATATATCTACTATATATATTTTCTATATAAATTATATATTTATTATGTAGTATACATTACATCTATTATATACAGTAAATATATAATATATAGTAAATATAATAGATACATGTAGTAAATATAATATATAGTAAATATATATAATAGATATAATATATACTATATGTAATAAATATATAATTATATATATAATATATGTATTTAGCTTTTCTCTTTCCCTGTTTGTGTTTCTGCCTCTCCAGCTCTAAGTAAACTCTAGCTGCCTCAAAGGGGTGTTGAAATAATAAATGCAATTTCTTGAGGATGGCTTTGAATTCCCAGATGAAAGGTGCTACATCCCTGAAAATTATAATTCAAATCGAAGCAGTCAACCTTTCATCCCCACATGCCTTTGAGGTTTAGAGTCCTTATGTGGATTCCAAATAAAGTAAGAAAGTAGAGATGTTGGCATCTCTAAAATGCCAACAAAGTTTCAAAAAGCAAAACATGGGGAAGAGATTTTCATCCTTGCCTTAAAAACAAAGTTTAAATAATAGCACTTTCTATTAATAAAATTTCTATGAATTTAACTCTTGGATCTTTAATTTCCTAAAAGAGAACAAATATAAATAGAAATGCCTTTTTTCTACCATATTTCAGTTGAAATAATGGATTTGTTTAAACTACATATTCCTATATGTCAAATAATAATAAAGTAGGATAAAGTCATAGTTATATTAAAATTCATAATTTTATTAAGATCTCCACTTTCTGAAAGGGAACACACTTATGGAACTTCATTTGGATGTGGAGAAGAATTAGAGAATCTCAAGGCATCAATTAAATTATGGGTGGCAATATTTAAAATTTGAAAGCTCACAGTTGTTATAGACAGAGATAGCTACATTTGAATCCGGATTTAACCACTTCATAACTGTGGAAAAAGATGGAGTTGATTTTCTTTCTTATATTCAGGTTTCTAATTTCTAAAGTGGGAGAAATAATATTAACACCCAGTGAGGAGTCAGTCAGTTTCTGATCCTGATGCACTCGTCTGCAAGTGGTTTAGAGAATTTACTCAAAAAAAAAAAATAAATAAAAAATAAATAAATAAAAAGAAAAACCCTGGGGAAAAAACTTTGTATTTTTCATTAGAGTTCAGCCTCATAAATCCATGTGGGACTCTAGTCGAAATTGCTAACATTTTTGTAAACAAATGACAAAATACAATAATTCTTATCCAAATCAATCCCACGAAGAAAAGAGATAGATGAGTAAAAAAGGACACTTTATTAATAGACATTATGTGTAAGTCTGTGACCCCAGACTCCCTTAAGTTCTCTAGTGATTGAAGCTCTCTCTTTCATCCTGATTGAGATGAGCATGAGAGGCCTGGAACAAAGACGGGTGGAAGTCTCGCTCTGCAGGTTTCTCACAGCCCTGTTCAAACTGTGTGAACTTTTCCCTCCAATAGAAGGAGACACAGGCATAGACTTCAGGGAACAGAGGGACTACAGAAAGAAAGATCCTCACTTTCTAAGATCTTAGCAGGCCAGGAGAGCTGCCCTATGGCCCAGGAGCTGTACCAGAGGATTTCAAGTGAGAAGGTCTGGCCTTTTCTGGTATAGACTCATTCTCTGGCCATTGTAACTCTGACCACCACAAAGAAGAGAGAGAAGCAGCACCTTGAATGTATGTTATGCTCTGGTATCTATTCCCTCTAAATATTTAATTTCATCGAGAAATGTCCCAATATGTGTTTTTAAACTTGGGGCAGAGGTTTGACATTTTTGGCCACTCCCTTGTACAATATAAAATAATGGGTAAAATCCAAGCACCACTAATTCAATGTATTTCCTCTGTCAAGTGGATGCCAACAGCCATGAGCAGACTAGACAAAAATTAATTAGTCCAAAACTTGGAATTCTTCCAAGTTTAAAACCTAATCTTTGTCCTAGAGTTCCTATGATTCATATGATTAAAGAAAAAAGAGGAAAAATATAACAAATCAAATATAAGATGTGTAACAAGGTAAAGAAAACATTTTTTTCATCTAAATCTTAAGGCTTATACTTAATCTAAGTGTTCTGTTGGAAAAATTTCCCTTTTTATCTTCTTCCACCCAGCACACTCACAAGCCCATTTTATGACAACACATACATAGATACTACTACAAACATATGACCAGATGATATGAAAAATAAAAATAAAATAGGCTATTCACTGTAAAGTGACAATCATATTCTGTGGTATTATTATATTAGTCTTGAGCCATAACAATGATCCTCCTCCTTCTCTAAGGTGAGTGGATGGTAAGATTATACGCATAGTGGGAAAGCTTTACCATTCAGGATAAACTAAGTCAAATGCTCAGTGTTGACCAAGGAAACCTTAGGCTAATTATTCTGATTCATAGGTTCAATTGTGTGATGTCAGCTTGTCTAAAACCCGGAACTGTTTCCTAGATTTCCGATTTCCCTCATCTGTAGCAGGAGTAGGAATCTAGTTTAGAATTGGCCAAAAGAGTGATGTGATTATGTTTTAGAAAGATAAAACAAAACAGACATCATTAATTTCAGAGGATGTAAAATTTAGATGTAGCAACAAAAAGATAACAGAAATGCCCTGTGGCTCCCAACTGATGATTGCTTTCCTCTACTCCATGTCCGGCTCATCGTCCAACAGCTGCACCCTCCGAAACTAACATTCCCAGGGCAACAAGCAGGCATTTGGATGTAACAAACATTTAAAAATACGATACCAAATCTCTACAATCCCTTCTAAAAATATAGAGGCAGAGGGCACACTTCCTTACTCATTTTATGAAGCCAGAATTGCCCTAATAGCAAAACTAGATAAGAGTAATAGAAAAGGGAAACTATAGGATGAAATTTTTCATGAACATACATTAAAAATCCTCAAGAAAGTCTGGATTCAGTGGCTTGTACTTGTAATCCCAACATTTTGGGAGGCCAAAGAAGGAGGTTCGTTTGAGCCTGGGAGTTTGAGACCAGGGTGGGTAACATAATGAGACCTTGCCTCTACTATACACACACACACACACACACACACACACACACACACATATATATATATAGAGAGAGAGCGAGAGATAATATATATTTAAAAATATATATTTTATGTATTATATATTTAAAGTATATGTATTTATATATTATATTTAAAATATATATACACACATATATGTACACACACAGAGAAATGTATTTCCTAATATATCTCTCTGTGTATGTATGTATGTGTATATATATATTTAAAAATCCTCAACAAAATATTAGTGAACTGAATCAAAAAATGTGTAAAAAATTATACACTATAACCAAGTGTAATTTTTTGCCAGATATGCAAGGATGTTTGAACATTCAAAAACCAATTACTTTAACCTATCATATTAACAGGCTAAAGGAGAAAAATTGCAAGATCATGTCAATATATACAAATTAAAAATTTGATAGTCCAACACTCAGTTATGATAAAAACATTTTGCAAACAAACAATAGAGATAAATTTTCTCAACTCCATAGGGAACATCTACAAAAATCCTATAGTTAGAATCAGATTTAACACTGAGAAACTGGATATTCTTCCCCTAAAAGTTGAAAAATGGCAAGAATATTCACTCTCAGTTCATTATATAGGAAGTCCTAGCTAGTGCAGTAAGAAAAAATAAAATAAAGGTATACTTATGGGAAGAAATAAAGCTTTGTTCACACTTGACATAATTGTCTATATAAAAAAATTCCCAAAGAATCAAGAACAACAACAAAAAAGACAAACTTCTAGAGCTAATGAGTAAATATAGTAAGGTCACAGGACTGAGGTTAATATAGCAAAAGTAGCTAGCATTCCTACATACCACCAATGAATAATTGATATTTTGAAATTTAAAAACATACCATTCATAATATCACTAATTTTTTTTTTAATTAAAAAAATACTTAGGTGAAGCTAGAACTGAGAGATTCCATGATGCCTGAATGCTCAAATCTCTCCTGCTGAGAGTGGGGTTGGTTTCTCTGTCAGCCTGGAAAGATTGTACCCAAATCTAATGAACCAGGTGCAGGGTGGCCACCCTTACAGGCTATAATGTAGAAAATGATGTGGACCTTCCTTTGAAAGAAGGAAATAAAAGCCTTGGAGCTCACATGTGTCAGTGACACTCAGGGTTCCCTTTCTATCAGCAAACAGATTTAGATGAGATTTGGAAAGTTGGCCTTTTGGGACAGATGAAAAACAAGAATTAGATTAAATAAACACACATAATATCTCTGTTCTGCTGAGTGGCTAAGTGACTTCAATAATACTCACATTTATCTATCTATCTATCTATCTGTCTATCTATCTATCTCTCTATCTATCTATCTCTCTATCTATCTTCTATTTACCTATCTATTTATCTATTATCTATCTATAGATATCACAGTGTTGGTACTATTTTGTGTTTGGGGTTATTATAAATAAAGTCACTAAGAGAAAAAAATAAAATGAATTCAACAAATCACAGAGTAGAACAAGTATCATATATCTACTTTCACACTTACAAATGGGTTCAAATTCCACTTATAGCTTTTCATTATTGTAATCCAGAGCCAAGTCAGGGTCTCATTATGGCTTGGGAACTTGATCATTTAAAAATGACTTATTCAGTAACTAAAAGAGAGAAGTTTTTTGCGTTTTTTTCAACTATTTTCCCAAAAATAAATCAAATTGTCACATGAGAATATATATGAATTTAAAGAAAACGATTTTCTGATGAAGTACAATGATCATGATGGTAGAACTTCCTTCTTAATCCCTGACAGTTGCTATTGGATAGTGTCAATATTGCTTTATAAGGTCAATAGAAAATCAGTTTATTTCACTATAGTACATTTCCTGAAACATTTTCTGAACATCATGTTTACCCTCCAGAAGTATCCTGATATGGTTTGGCTGTGTCCCCACTCAAATCTCATCTTGAATCATAACTTCCACAATTCCCACATGTCATGGGAGGAACCCAGTGGGAGGTGACTGAGTTACGGGGGCACGTCTTTCCTGCTCTGCTCTCATCATAGTGAATGAGTCTCACGAGATATGATAGTTTAAAAAAAAAAAGAAAAAAAAAAACCAGGAATTTCTCGGCACAAACCCTCTCTCTCTGCCTATTGCCATCCATGTAAGACATGACTTGCTTCTCCTTGTCTTCCACCATAATTGAGAGACCTTCCCAGCCATGTGGAACTGTAAGTCCATTAAACCTCCTTCTTTTTTAAATTGCCCAGTCTCAAGTATGTGTTTGTCAGCAGCATGAAAACAGACTAGTACAGTAAATTTATTCCAAGGGTGGGGTGCTACTAAAAAGATAACCAAAAAATGTGAAAGTGACTTTGGAACTGGGTAACAGGCAGAGGTTGGAACAGTTTGGAGGGGTCAGAAGAAGACAGAAAAATGTGGGAAAGTTTTGAACTCTCTAGAGACTTGTTGAATGACTTTGACAAAAATGCTGAAAATGATATGGACAATGAAGTCCAGGCTGAGGTGGTCTCAGATAGAGATGAGGAACTTGTTGGGAACTGGAGCAAAGGTGACTCTTGTTGTGTTTTAGCAAAGAGACTGGCAGCATTCTGCTCCTGTGCTATGTGGAACTTTGAACTTGAGAGAGATGATTTAGGGTATCTGGCAGAAGAAATTTCTAAGCAGCAAAGTGTTCAAAATGTGACTTAGGTGCTGTTAAAAGCATTCAGTTTTATAAGGGAAGCAGAGCATAGAAGTTCAGAAAGTTTGCAGCCTCACAATGCGATAGAAAATAAAATCCCATTTTCTGAGGATAAATTCAAGTCAGCTGCAGCACATAAGTGATAAGGAGCCAAATGTTAATCCCCAAGACAATGGAGAAAATATTGCTAGGGTATGTCAGAGGTCTTCACAGCAGCACCTCCCACTATAAGCCTGGAGGCCTAGGAGGGAAAAATGGTTTTGTGGGCTGGGCTCAAGAACCCCCTGCTGTGTGCAGCCTAGAGACTTGGTGCTCTGCATCCCAGCCACTTCAGCTGTGACTAAAAGGGGCGAAAGTCCAGTTCAGGCCATGGCTTCAGAGGGTACAAGACCCAAGCCTTGGCAGCTTCCATGCGGTATTGAGTCTTCAGGTGCAGAGAAGTCATGAATTGAGGTTTGAAAACCTCCACCTAGATTTCAGAGGATGTATGGAAATACCTTGGTGTTCAGGAATAAGTTTGCTGCAGTGGTGGGGCCCACATGGAGAACCTCTGCTAGGGCTGCACAGAAGGGAAATGTGAGATTGCAGCTCCCACACAGAGTCCCTACTGAAGCACTGCCTTGTGGAACTGTGAGACAAAGGCCACCATCCTCCAGACCCCAGAATGGTAGATCCACTGACGGCTTGCACCGTGTGTCTGGAAAAGTCACAGGCACTCAATGCCAGCCTGTGCAAGCAGCCAGGAGGGAGGCTGTACCATGCAGAGCCACAGGGGTGAAGCTGCCCAAGACCATGGGAACCCAGCTCTTTCATCAGCGTGACCCAGATGCAAGACATGGAGTCAAAGGAGATCATTTTGGAGCTTTAAGATTTGACTTCCCTGCTGGAGTTTGGACTTGCATGGGACCTGTAGCCCCTTTGTTTTGGTTAATTTCTCCCATTTGGAATGGCTGTGTTTACCTAATGCCTGTACCCCCATTGTATCTGGGAAATAACTAACTTGCTTTTGATTTTACTGGCTCATAGGCAGAAGGGACTTGCCTTGTCTCAGCTGAGATTTTGGACTGAGAACTGTTGAGTTAATGCTGAAATGAGTTAAGACTTTTGGGGACTGTTGGGAAGGCATGATTGGTTTTGAAACGTGAGGACGTGAGATCTGGGAGGAGCCAGGGGCGGAATGATATGGTTTGGCTGTGTCCACATCCAAATCTCATTTTGAATTGCAACTCCCACAGCTCCCACATGTCATGGGAGGAACCCAGTGGGAGGTGATTGAATTATGGGAGCTGATCCTTCCTGCACTGTTCTCATATTGAATGAGTGAGTCTACAAGAGGTGATGGTTTTAAAAAAACAGGAGTGTTCCTGCACAATCTCTCTTTTTTCTTGCTGCCATCCGTATAAGACGCGACTTGCTTCTCCTGCATTCCACCATGATTGTGAGCCCTCCCCAGCCACATGGAACTGTTAAGTCCATTAAACCTCTTTCTTTTGTAAATTGCCCAGTCTCGGTGTGTCTTCATCAGCAGTGTGAAAATGGACTAGCACATATCCTTTCTAAATGCAGTGTTGAATCTTTTCTATTGTGGTACTTTAACTTTTTGTCTAGTGGTATTGTTTTATTTGCATATTTCTGAAAACTCTAACTATAGATTATTTTCTTAAATCTGTTCATTTCAAAGCCAGAAATTGTGCCCCAATCAAAATGGGACTTGATGTTTTAAGATTGCTTTTCATCATAGGGATATAGTGTTCTTATTAAATATAATTCTTTATTCTTCCTCATCAATCTTATCAGTAACTTTGAATGTTAATGTACGTTTCTCATGTTCCAAAGTAATAAACAGACACATAAAAGTCAATTGATTTAGACCATTTACATGAACAAATTAAGATTTCTTCTTTATTATAGTACATCTTGATATAGGCCAGTAAGAATGTCTTCTGATGCCTTCTTGTTTAGATTTGTGTCCACAGCACGAGAGCTTAAAGAGGTTGTATGCCATTTATATAACTTTTGTGGTCAGCTTGCTCAGATAACTGTATCTGCTGGATGTTAGAAAAAAATTTACTCTTTGAACAACAATAACATTAAGTTGAGGGTTTATTGCAATGTCTCAGAAATATGTTAAGACTACCTCATCTTTTTCAATAATGCAGATAAAGGATTGGGATGCCGAAATAAAGTTATTTATTTTTATAAGCTGTCAGCTTTGGCAGTTAATAAAATGTATTTTTTGAATATGAATTTGATTTGGATTCTAATGTGTATTTCCAATTTATAATCATATATATTTCTAATAAAATTTGTCGTAAGTAATACAATCACAAAACCTTCAGAGAAATCATGTATCAATTATTGGAGTCTGATCAAGGATGTTATCCTTTCTTAGCCTCCCACTACTTAAGATAAAATTGGCATATAGATTAAAAATAGTTGTTATATATCTATCTACTTATCCATTTATCTATCTATTGATCTGTCTGTCTGTCTACCTACTCACCTACCTACCTATCATCTGTCACCTAAGTATCTAATCTTTATATAAATATGCTCCATCTGGCATAGAGTTGAGGCTCTCAACAAATTCAGCTATTCTTCATCTAACCTAGGAATGGTTGATTTTGTGGTGGAGCAGAGAAATTGCATAGAAAACCGACTAGCAGTTATTGAAGTCTGAATTTATTAAATATATTAGCAAGCAAAACCTTTAAAAGTACCTCCTCTGCTCAGATATTCCTTCACTCTCATTTTTCCAATTAACTCCTATTTTTTCATCAAATCTCATGGTTAACATAACCTTTTCTCCATTTTGAGGCACTTGCTCCTTTCTTGGTGTTAATTTGTGCTTCTCTCTTTGTGCTTTCTCATCAGTTTGTATGCATAGCACATTACAATGAAATCATCTTTCTTCTATGGTAAGGAATTGACCACCTAAATAGCATGCACTTCCGTAATTATATAATTAATTACTTTATATATTTTAGGGAAGTGATATTTGTTTAGAGCCACTTGTTTTCAAATCATTTTCCTAGTATTGGAAATAAAAAACAATTCAGAAAAGGGAACTGTCCTCATGAACTTAGAGTGCTTTAGAAAGATGCAATCATATAATCAAGTAGTGATGTTTGAGCTGAGTCTTAGAAGATAAACAGGTACTTGCCTATCTGAGAGAAAAGAAACATAGTCCTCAAAGAAAGAGCAACAGAAGCAAAAGCATTATGAAGTAAAACATCTGGTCACTCATTTTGCATCCCTAAAATCATGCACAATGCCTATAATGCAGAATACATACAATATTGAAAGTAATCAATGTTTTAATAAATAAATGAATTCAAAAATGATTGCTATAAAAACACCTGTCAGAGTGCCAAAATTTTAAGACCTCAATATTCAATGCATTAAATAACTTCTACATATTAATTTGAACTAAACTAACTTTATTTAATATATAACATATTATATATGTACATATATATTACATATATATGTAATACAGACATATATATATATATATATATATATAAATACAGATGGAGTCCTTGTACATTTAGATTCCTGGAAGTAGAGTCTTTACAGTTCAGTCCTAGGCAGTCTCAGCCCTACTGGTTGGGGTCCAAATCTGCCTCCCCTTCTCTCATTCTGTTTGTTTATCTTAAAACCCTTGCCACCCCATTTACTTGCATAACACATCTTATTTATACTAATAAATATTCTTGGTTATAGAACAGATGATTATTGGAATAGTGGCTAAGTATGTGAGCCCTTGCTTTTGAATTCTGATTCCTTCACTTAGTGAGTGACAAAGGGTAAGCTTTCTTATGTATAGAAAAGCAGAGTAGAACCTACTTTATTGGATTCTTAGTAGCACTACATGCAATAGTCCATGGAGCACCAGTCCAGGTGACCTTGCTCAATGCCTCATTATCACCCAAAGCCCCTCTAACACCTAGCATACAGTTAATGACTTTCTTCTCTTCCTTGGAAGAAAATGAAGACAAATACTGCCATTTGTGACTTTTAACTGTTGTTCTTAAGTTAAAACATGATTTTTGTATTTTTTTTTGCTCAGAAAAATACCATTTCACAAATTGTAACCTAATTGTCCTAAGAGTTGTTTTGAAATGGAGGGGGTTTTTGCTGTTGTTTGGCTTGTTTGTTTTAACTCTAGGAGAAAAAAGGTAGGAGCAGGGGAGACAGTTAAATTGGAATGGCTCAAATCTTATACTAATCTTTTTGGTACTGTTGTGCTTAGAGTGTAGTTTAATATTTTGAATTCCCTACACCCATGATTCTGACAGGAGCTAGGGGAACAGAAATGTTCTCCAAAAACTATTAGACAGGCTTGTCTTGCTTTTATTATTTTATCAAGAAAAAAGGCCCGATGCTACTAATTGGAAGTACATTCTGGCCTCTGTAACAGAAACATGCTTTAGGTAAGATTATAGCGGTGATGAGGAGAAGAAGGAGAAGGATACACACAGCTTGTACCTCTAATGTCTTAAGAAAATGAATACTGTGAAGTAAGTAAAAACAAGCACCTCAATCTTTCTGTACTTAGGGCTATTATCCTCTTATTGGTACAGCAACATGTACCACCATTATCCTGTTACACTAGGCCCCTGAAACTACATTTGTGGGTTGGGGTTCCCCAAGAAAATACCAATTTACAACAAAATTTTCTTTCTCTGGCTACTAGACATGTCACTAATTTAGTTGCAGCATGAGTACCTTAACTATAAATCCAGCTGACAAATGTGACCATAACCATACAGGTAGAATTTATGTTTAAAATAGATGTGTATGATTTATTGAGGACCTTGTAGGCTATTAGAAAAATACCGCAACCCTTCTCTACTATCAGCTGCATGACACACACCTGAATTGGAAAATGCTGTAGAATTTAATTCTTATTTAGCCAGGTATTCTCTTTTTTTCACCCATCCCCTGCTTTTATTTATTCATTTTTTAATTTGAACCAGGGAAAGTAGGAAGTAGTATCAAACCTTGCCAGAATTTTATCCACTCATGTAGAGTCAGGGCTGTGTTCTCTGCGGGAGCTTTGAGTATGATTCCTTCATTCCAGTGGCCACCATTTACATAGACTGTCTGTGCTCTACTATTAAATTGCACATGGAACTGTGTCAAGAGCTCCCTCCTCTCTTTATTTATTTATTTTTAAGAGAGTGTCTACTTTGACTTCTATTCCTGGGAACAGAAATAAATTTCTTTATTAGACTATCCTGCAAACTCTTAGATTTACCAGGATTGGACTGGATCTAACAGGTGTCCAATAAAAATCCATTCTTTCCATTTATTTGGTCATTCATATAATTACCCAAATATTTACTGAAATTTACTGTGCTAGATTTGTAAACCAATAAGGAAGCAAAATATATGTATGTCTTGCTTTCATGAAACCTACAGTTTTAATCTGTTATTAATCAGGTTTACTAAACTTTATAACAGCAAATGATACACTACAACTGAAATAAAATCACAGAGCTAATGGTGTATATTAAGAACTGAATCTTGTCTGCAGGTATAAGAGCCACATCTCTTATAAAATATTTTCCATGCTCATACTGATTCCCTTTCTCTGCAAGGTCTACTCTCCTACTGCTCACACAGTATTAGCTATACTTAAAATATTTTGCTGGTCACAATTACTGGCTCAGAGGTGGACACTTCTTGCAAGTTGAACCTGAAAGATTATCTTTCTAGAATTTTTGTACTTCTGATTCACAAGCATGAAGTGTGAGAGTTTGAACAAAACTAAAATATTTTGGACTTTATAGCCAAAGGCTGTGTTTTTATGATATTCTGAATTTTTTTTTCAAAAGAAGCTGTTGAAAATGTATACATATAAATAAATTTTCTATTTTTGAAATATTGAAAGTGGCATTTCTTTCTCATGGATATAGATACCTAGTACTCTAGTTGTCATACTGAAGATTACCTGTTGTTTCTGTTTTGTGGGAAAACAGAAATTGCTCATGTGGGCATCTGGCTGGGTTCAAATGTGTTTAACATCATTTTTAGTCATTGACTTTCACCTATCTTTCTAAGTTTTGTGGGTTTTAGTTCAGTTTGGTTGATTTTATTTTGAATTTTAATATTAACATATCCATCAATAAATAAAGCTTTTTATTCAGTGGCATATGAAATTAAACCTCTGAAAGTGCTTTATATTTATAAAATGAAAATCAAGCTTAGTGGAAATAAAATTGGAGATGTATTTTGAGTCACGCAATAAAATTTTAAGGCATAATTATTATTCTTCATAAAATAGCTGATGTTCAGGTATCCTACAAATCTTTCGTGTGTATAATTATCTTTGTAATCTTAGCCTTAAATATGTCTCCCAAAACTAAAATATTTAAAGCATTTTATAATTTAGTTCAATATTCATATCCCCAACCTTCTTGGAATTTAAAAACTACTCACATTTTCTCAAAATATATTTATACCCATAAACATTGTTATAAATTAATTTTTTATTAGTATTTACATTGTAATTTCCAAGCACATATGCTACAATCATCTCAGTAAAATTAACAATGAAAAAATTAGCTAAAGGGCAGATAAAGAAAGGTGTTAGGAAATACTATTTTGATCTAAAATTCTAAGTTCCCCAATTTGCACAATGAAGATATGTGTGTGTGTGTGTGTGTGTGTGTGTGTAATAGGATGATAAGTTATTCTCAATTTTCACATTTCTGCTGGGCTTAGTGGATTATATAATGTGATAATAGGCCAGTAATTTCCAGCTTTCTTTTTGTAGCAGTAGCATCTTTATTGAAAAAAAATTTATATTAAGATATAGTATCAAAATGCATAAGGGTGTCTTTGCTTTGGCTTGGCAGGGTTGGTGTCTGTAAGCCTTGTTCTCTTGACTCTTATTAAACTGAACCTTTGCGTGACAGCTAATTGTCTGTAGAGCCATTTTAGTAAAACCATTACTGGGAATATAATATTCTTTGGAGCTTGGCTGTCTGATAATTAGGGTCTAGTGCTTGTCTTCAGCTTTCTCTAAACTTCCAATGGCAAAGAGAAGAGTCTACTTGTATGCTATAAATGAGACTCTATGGCTTTTACACACAGCTCACAGCCTCTCCTTATTTATTCATTTTTTCCTAGAGTATGCATCACGTCTTTCAACAGCCACCCAATTCTACTTCCCTGGCTAATATTTCCCTCATATTTCTCATGTGGCTAAAATACTGCATCAGATAGGACATTTGCTTCCACAGATATTATGTCCTATTTCACTACAAGTGAAAGTTTGAGCAATTAGACCACAGCCTAAGGCAGTGACCCGCTGTGCTCCAGCAACCACACTGATGGAGTTCTCATTGCTGGCCAGGTGATGAGTGATCCATCTACAATACACCGTTTTCTTGCCTGCTTGTGGACTCCAGCACTGACTTTCCCTGGCTTTGCTCTTTCGAGGGCAGAATTAATCTTATAGTATATTTGTTAGGTAGCATCCTTGGAATCAACACCAGCAAAAGGAAGAATAAGAAATTGGGTTTGGGTAGAGGGAGAAGTTGAGCTTTTAGTCCACCAACAGCCTCAGCCAACTCCACAGGCAGCTCTGGAGAAAAGCTGACTCTTCACTGTTGTTTAGAATTGGTTTGAAATATGCAAGTCTTTAAACTTCATCACAATTAGCCATTAGCTCTGTGAGTTGTTCACAAAAAGCGGAGACCATGTGTGTAGTAGTTATCTGCAGCTGAAGCCATCTCTTAAAGTAGCTGGTACATGTAGTCTGTTGTTATAACTAATTCTTTTTCGAAGGGGAATTTAGGGGGGAACATAATTATGCTGACCACTTCGTGGTTGATCCATAACTATGCCCACTGGTGAACAATATATAGACCCAAATTCTAAAATACTTTATGGGACTTTGTCAGGCAGGCAAGGCTACACCATAGTAATAGCCACTCCCAGAGTCAGAACGTTAGAGCAGAAATATTTTACTTTCCACTAATGCAACTTCTCCATCATGAGTCACCCAAGGTTTTTACTTACTATATTTGCTCAGGAAATTTGGTTAACAAATTTAGCTAAGCCACTGTCTAGAATGTCACTGTTTGTCAAACCAAAGAGAAATGGAGTTCTAAAGCTTCTCAAACCAGAAACCAAATTCTCTGTCCAGGTATTCCCAAATGTCACTTCTATTCACCATTATTAGTCAAGTCTACTCCCACAGAGTCGGAAAATGAAATCCTACTGTGTTCAAAAGAGAGCAGCTAGTGGTTGAGTGAGCAGCTTAATGACTGCCACTGAAACTTACCTCATCAAATCTCCACCTGCGCCTCTAACCTCATTCTTCTACCTTCATTCTTGCAAACTTTGGGAACTTCAGACATATTGAGATTTTCTGAATTTTTCATTCTCTCTCATTCTGAAATATATTTACTTGTGCTCTTTCCCTTGCTTTCGTCGAGAAATGAATTTTGAATGGGTGAAAATGATTACACTGTCATCAATTATAATTTTGTTGTTTTTTTTTTCCTCCATTAGTAATGTCATTTTAACTCTAAGGTGAGTAGTCATACGCCAAAATATGATCTCAGTCAAGCAAGAATATACACCTTACCTTCCTCATTCCTAAAACTCAGTTTCTTCTTCCTAGAATATGCACATCCCATATGGCCTCTGTCCAACTTGCCTTTCCTTTTTATTTCCTGCAGAGCACCCTTTAATGGTGCCACCTTTTAACTCAAAGCAATTATTTTGTGTGCCATTCATTAAGGAGTTATTAAATACTAAGCAAACGGGAGAAGTTTTAGAATGTTTTCATGTATTTCTATTTGCACGTATTTCATTGAGGTTTTACAGGTGTGAATTATTTTGTAATTACCTCTTCTGCTAATTCAGAGAGAAATCGAGAAGATGAACTTGTTATATGGGAGAAACATTATTAGAAGAAGCCAAGATTTTTGAAGTTCTTGTACAGGCTCAATCTTAATTAGTCTTCCTTGATAATATCATCTAGCTTCAATTTCCTCATCTTTTTTCTGCATAACATAGGTTTCACTAGAAAATCTCTAAGGAATTGCCCACAATTAAAATGAAGTGATTCAGAAACTAGATTAACCATTCTCTGAGACAAAAGATTTGAATAGAAAAAAAATTCACTTGTTAAATATTATCATTGTTTAGCTTTCAATTCACTAAAGTCTTTGAAAAAAACACCACTCTATTTTCTGGTGTGAAAGGGTTGTGGGGAACTGGGGAAGATATAATGTTGAATTTACAAATTGGGGAAAAGTAAGCATGTGTTTCAAAACTTGGAAATAAATCATCTTTTTAATTACCGTGGGACAATGGCCATCAGGGAAAGTCCAGATACTGAAATTAGACCCTCTACCAGGATAAGGAGCAGGGGAAACTGTGAGTCTCACAGTTATAGCCACTGGGATAAATGATAGCTGTGGTAGACAGCAACTTCAGAGTGACATCTAGAATTCATACAGAATCACATGCAAATGAACACACATATATTCTAGCATTTTCAACCCCTCTATTATCATGACTTCACTGCATTTTGCTTTAGTAAATAAACCTTATGACTCAATAAATGTCTATTAACCACTAAAGAGATAATAAGGATATCTGATTTGATGTTAATGCCATGAATGGGTGTTGAATTTTAACAGATTCCTTGTGTTTCTTTTGAGAAGATCAAATGATTTTTCTCCTTTATTTTGTTAATGTAGTTCCTTGATTCCCTAGTGGAAACCAACGATAATTATTGGAATAAACACAACTTGTTTGTGGCTTACGAATATTTTTTGTATCTCTGAATTTGGCTTGTTAGTATTTTGTTAAAGAATATTTCATTTATATTTATGAAAGAGTTGGGCCTGTAAGTTTCCTTCTGTAATATTCTTGTCATATTTTTGTACCAGGGTTATAATAGCATCATAAAATGAATTTGATATGTTCAACTTTTCCAAAAGAGTTTATTTAAGACTAAACTTAATTCTTCCCTAAGTTTTTGGAAGTATTTACTATGGCAGCATCCTGGATGGAGTGATACTGTTTAGAGACAGAATGGTTAAGCTTTAAAGTTGTTAGTACATATGACTTTTTAGATATTGTGGAAATTCTTTTGTCAGTTTTATATTAAATTACACAGAGATTTTTGTATTTATTTAAAATTTCAAATTATTGACATACAATTATTTTAACAGTATTTTAATATATATAAGATCTGACTGACGTATCTTTTTACATTCTGGATATTGATGTTGTTTTTCTTTTGGTTATATTGCCAGAATACAGCCAAATTACCTGTCTTTTCAATGAAGAAATTTTGAGTTGGTTGATTGTCTCTCTGAATATTTGTTTTCTGTTTCATTCATTTCTGTTCTTATCTTTATTATGTCCTTCTACTTTTCTCCTTTTGGGATCATATACTAATATTTGCTATTTTATTAAGATGACAATTTAGATGTGAATTTCGGCCTTTCTCTTTTTTTCCTTCTATTACAGCCATTTAAGCAACTACATTTCTCTTTAAGAAGAAATATAAAATTATATTTTATTTTCATTTACATTTATATTCATAATACATATATATTCATAAATGTCAAATTATATTTTATCACACAGATTTCAAAATGTCATATTTTAATTTTTATTAACTAAGAGCATTTTCTTTTTTTTATTTTTAAGAGATGGAGTCTCGCTCTGTCCCCCATGCTGGAGTACAATGGCACAATCACAGCTCACTATAGCCTTAACCTCCTGGGCTCAAGCAATCCTCTGGTCACAGCCTACTGAGGTGCTAGGACTATAGGCAAATGCCACTACACCTGACTAATTATATTTTATATATTTTTTTTGTAGAGACATGGTCTCTCTATGTTGCCTGAGCTGGTCTCAAAGTCCTGGCCTTAAGTGATCCTCATGCTTCAGACTCTCAAATTGTTGAGATTACAGGCTTAAGCCAGGCCAGAAACTCTTCTAATATTCGTTTGGTATCTTCATTAATTAATAAGAAAATTATAGAAGAAATGATTAAATAAAAAACATGGGAGTTCATCTAGTTATTTTTTGTCACTTATTTCCAGTTTAAATATACTGTATGCAGAGAATATGTCCTAATTCTTTGTCACTTAAATGTACTGAAACTTGCTTTATGACCCAGCATTTGCACAATATTGGAAAGTATTATATTCAGTTCACTTTAAAATAAAAGTGTGCTCTTATTGCTTGTCTTATTGTTATAACAAAATTCTTTAGAATTGGTAATTTATCAATAATCGAATTTTATTGTTCACAGTTTTGGATTGTGGGACATTCAAAATCAAGGTGGCAGTGAATTCCGTGTCTGGTGGGGAATTCACTCTCTGCTTCATAAGTGGTGCCTTCTTGCCTCATCCTCACATGATGGAAGGGCAAATAAGCACCCTCAGGCCTCTTTTATGAGGGCACTAATCTCATTCACAAAGGCAACACCCTCATGGCTTGATTCACTTCCCAGAAGCTTCTACTTTGTCATGCTGTCACGTTGGATATTAGGTTTCAACATATGAACTTTGGGGAACAAAAACATATTTTAATGTTTATCAAAATAGCATTTTAAAATATTTTTAGTACTTAAAAGTGCTATTTTAATAGCAGACCATAGCATTTTAAAAATTTTTTTAATTTGATTTTTACATTTACATATAACAACTGTACCTATTTATGGGGTAATATTATGCAGTTTCAATATATGAAATATATAGTAATCAGATCATAGTAATTAGCACATCTCAATAGCATCATCTCAAACATCTATTATTTCTTTGTGTTGGGAACATTCAATATCTTTCTTCTAGCTCTATGAAACTATATAACATATGATTGTTAAATATAGCCATCCTGCAGTACAATGGAACACTAGAACTTATTAGCTGTAATTTGGATCCTTGAACAAATCTCTCCTTGTCCTCTTCTTGCCCTTGCCCTTTCCAGTGTCTAGTATCCTCTGTTCTACTGATCTTTAATTGAATGTTAGATCTTTTTAATTAAAAAGTAAACCAGTAATTTATTTCTCTTTTGTTATTTTTTTAATTATACTTTAATGTTCTAGGGTACATGTGCACAATGTGCAGGTTTGTTACATATGTATATACATGTGCCATGTTGGTGTGCTGCACCCATTAACTCGTCATTTACATTAGGTATATCTCCTAATGCTATCCCTCCTCCCTCCCCCCACCCCATGACAGGCCCCGGTGTGTGATATTCCCCTTCCTGTGTCCAAGTGTTCTCACTGTTCAATTCCCACCTATGAGTGAGAACACGCGGTGTTTGGTTTTTTGTCCTTGTGATAGTTTGCTGAGAATGATGGCTTCCAGCTTCATCCATGTCCCTACAAAGGACATGACCTCATCCTTTTTTATGGCTGCATAGTATTCCATGGTGTATATGTACCACATTTTCTTAATCCAGTCTATCACTGATGGACATTTGGGTTGGTTCCAAGTCTTTGCTATTGTGAATAGTGCCGCAATAAACATATGTGTGCATGTGTCTTTATAGCAGCATGATTTATAATCCTTTGGGTATATACCCAGTAATGGGATGGCAGGGTCAAATGTTATTTCTAGTTCTAGATCCTTGAGGAATCGCCACACTGTCTTCCACAATGGTTGAACTACTTTACAGTCCCACCAACTATGTGAAAGTGTTCCTGTTTCTCCACATTCTCTCCAGCATCTGTTGTTTCCTGACTTTTTAATGATCGCCATTCTAACTGGTATGAAATGGTATCTCATTGTGGTTTTGATTTGCATTTCTCTGATGGCCAGTGATGATGAGCATTTTTTCATGTGTCTGTTGGCTGCATAAATGTCTTCTTTTGAGAAGTGTCTGTTCATATCCTTTGCCCACTTTTTGATGGGTTGAATTTATTTCTCTTGATAGTGTTTTGATTTTCCTCCAGAGGGAAAAAAAAAAACTTGCTGTACTTCTAGAAGCTAGATTTGATAAACAAATTACCTAATATAGTCGAAAATAGAGCTTGTTTAAAATTTTAAATTTTCATGAATGTTTTTATTCTTTGTGAGTTCTGGTCTGATTCAGTATATTCTTATTGAAGACCTAGTGTGTTCGCCAATTTTCCTCTTCTACAATAGGCCACAAGTCCATTCTTCCACTAGCCCTGTTAGATTGCTGAGTCTGTGCTAAGTTCCTTGGACTCTTGGTTCTCATTATGTTCAACCTATCACTTCCTACTAATGAACTTTTCATTGGCAGGTGCCTCAATGAGAAGAGTAACACAATGTCAGCTCATCCATCTCGAATGTTTTCTTTTTGTAATTTTGGATACTTGAATTCTAGCAAGCTTGAAATAAATGTATAAAAATACATCATCAATTATTCTAATTGAATAGAAAGTAAGTGATGATAGTCTAGTCTGACATAATGAAAAGCTGAAGTTCAAAATGTCACTGTTATTTCATGCATTGGCGTAGCATAAAATACAGCTTAAGATAAAATGTAAAACACAGCAAATAGTAGATAATAAATAAAAAAGAAAGGAATGAATATTGTCACACACACATACATGCAAAGAAATGGAATCATTTCAGCAAAGTATATAGGAAATATAAATATGTGCTAATAAGCTAACTGAAGCTACTGACTTGTTGGGCTCTGCATCTTCGAAGAGGAAGAAGGAGAGACAAGACCTTGCATTTGAGGAGTAACTATGACTGAAGCTCTGCATGGATCATTGGGGAAGAGAGTTGAGAAAAACTATAGATGATTGCCTGCTTAAACCTGCCTATCTGCTAAGGCAAGGGGGCGAAATAACAGAGAAGCTCATACACTCTTGCTCACATGACTGTGACTAAGCCAAATGGTTTCAGTGAAGCCATTATAAAACCAAGTAGTATACTGAAGACCTGGGAGGTAGAAGAACCATAACAAAATGTTTGATACAGAAAATTGAGCCAGAAATAAGAAAGAAAAAAATCATACACCCACTCAAAATATGTTTGCAAATGGAGAGTAAATAAGAAGAATAAGAGATAAATGCAAAAGGAAATAAGTTATTCAGAAAGAAATTCATGTAATTGGTGATAAAAAATGATTTTAAGGTAAATATGCTTAGAATCTCAAAGAGGTTAAATAATACATATGATTCACCAAGCAAAAAAGAAAATATAAAACAGGCAGATAGTAATTAAGAGTTGAAAGACTTAAGCAACAATCAAACAGAAATCCTGAAAATGAAATACAGAATCATTGACATTGAACACTCAAAACCTAGAAGAATAAAACCCTGACAGGATATACTATACTATTCATGGATATATTCTAATCTATTACAAGAAAGTTTAATGAATAATAAATACTCAACATATATTTTCCTTCTTGAAAAATTATGTATTCAATAATATTTGCATTAATAAATGAAATAAATATTTTTAAAGAATAAAACTCATAAAGTAAAGATAATGGATGAAAATCTGAGCAGAAGATGCACATCTTCTAGAGCTTTTCTAGTATTACTGCGGATCTCTTATCTTGAGAGAAAGCTTAGATGAGTAGGATAAACCACAGCCTTCATCTTGGGGCCACGATTGATATTCACCCTCTCTCCTTCAGCATTGATTGCAAATTTCCTTTGCCCTAAATTATCATTTCTACTGACCTTGGTGATTTACCTCGTGATGTGAACCAAACTCTCATTCCTGAAGTATCTGAGCTCCTGAAAACCATACTCAAGTTA
Source organism: Homo sapiens (assembly GCF_000001405.40). Lineage (NCBI taxonomy): Eukaryota > Metazoa > Chordata > Mammalia > Primates > Hominidae > Homo > Homo sapiens. Next base: position 136,614,301 of record NC_000008.11, read on the forward strand.
GGGGCATTGCGCATATCTGTTTATTGACTTTACATAAAGGAGAACTGAGCAACATCCAAGCAAATGACTTAGCTGGCAAATATGCCTCTGCCTGTTTCTAGCGTATAACAGCAGTCCTACCTTCTCATGCTAACTATGGTCCATTATTCATGTCAAATTCAGATTCTACTTTTTTTGCCTATTGGTACCTGGACACTAGAATTCCCAGAAGCACAGGCAGCAGCTGTGCTTGTAGCTAAATGGAACTTTTGATGGGGCCCTGTCAAGAGGGTTCTCCGTTTGAGGATTATAAACCTTAACCCTAAAGATTCCAGAGTTATGGAGATGGAAAAGACAAAGTCTCCCAATAGGTCACTGGAAATCATGGTAAATAAATGCACATGTGCATTCATGCCTTTGTTCCCAGACCCGTACTTTCTTCCTTCTGAGGAGACAGTGCTGAACAGAGTTTATATTTCAGTGCATAAGCTTCATCCTTAACTGACTCTAAGCTGAAGCTTTGGCTGAACTTTCAGCAGGTTGTCCCAATACCATTTGGCTAGTTGTCTTTGCTTGGGATAGTGTGTGACACAACTAGTAGGTGCCAAGGACTCATTCCCAAAGTTCTTTCACTGTGGAGTGGATCCCTCATCTGACAATACTTTGCATGACATCCCATGCCTAAGCATCAAGCACTCCATACACTCCCGGATAACAATACTTGGCTGTGGCCCCTTAGGAAGAAAAAATAAACCATGCCTGGAATAGGCTTCTGCTCTTGTGAGGATAAAACACTGGTCCTCTCAGAAAGAAAGAGACGCAATGGAATCAAACTGTCACCAAGTGGTTAATTGGTCACCTTAAGAATTTGTGCCATATTGAGAGCTCAGCTTGGTTCCTGTTGCTGGCAGTGTGGACATTCAGACTTGACTGCTGCTAGAGTAGGCTTGTTCACTGGAGTCTATGCTGTCTGGCTTGTGGATTGCCTCCATCTTCTCTATGTTCTGCTGCGTTGTCCACTCAGTTCATGTGCATATCAAGCCAGTTCAGTGGTGGTTGATGATGAAAGCTAGCTAACAGGAACTGGCTGAGTCATTTGTCTAGCTGTTTATGTAATGCTTCTTCTATGGCCAATGCTTTCTTATGGACAGTCACATGTAATGGAAAACTCTTCATACTTCAAGTCCACATTCATACATCCAGGCATGTGCTTCAACCTTGAATCTCATTGTCTCACTTGTCCACTATTTCTATTGTTAAGCATTCCATTTCTTCCAGAGCACAGTAGCCAGCCTGGAGTTTCCCCAAAGGCATATAATTGTTTTATGCAATGCATGGTAGAGTGAATGGATGCAGCAGGAAGTTGAAGTCCCTGGACAAGTAGGAAACAAAATTTCCACGAATAAACTGTGCATAAATTTGTTGCACAACCCATTAATCTTCTCCATACAAAACTTGCTAACCCATAGCAGGTTCCAATTACCTTTACAATGAGTTAGTCATGGATTATCTTAGAAACTATCACTAAAGTAGTCTGAGGAGGTGAAGTTATTTTTGTTATAATCTCAATAGGAGAGATAAACAGTGTTTCTAAATTCAGTGACCATTTAAAAGATTTTAATTTGGTGAATCTATTTTGAAGAAATACTTCTGTAAAACTCCAATGATGTGAGATATTTTGTTTGTTTTTAAACCCTTATCTGCAGAATTTTTTGAAAACTAGAATTTTTATGGAACATTAAAATAAAAAAATTTGAATAATTTTTTTTTTTTTTGAAAGAGAGTCTCACTCCGTCACTCAGGCTGGAGTGCAGTGGTATGATCCTACCTCACTGCAGCCTCAAACTCCTGGACTCAAACAATCCTCCCACTTCAGCCTCCAAGTAGCTAGGACTCCAGGTGCATGCCACCATGCCAGGCTAATTTTTGTATTTGTTGTAGAGACATGAGACATGGTCTCACTGTGTTGACCAGGCTTCTCGTGAACTCAGTGAAAATATTTTTATATAAAAATAAGTCAGTTTTAGACAGATACACAGTTTATTGAGAATAACAGATTATATATAGGATGTGTGTGTGTGTAATGACATGTTAACTTTTTTTAGTGAAATAAGTTTAGAATTCTTATTCATCATCTGAAGAAAGCAAAATGACTTATTTATGTCTGGCAATCTTTCTTTTCCCTTTAACCTTCTTTTTACCAGTATTCCTCTTTTAGCTTTTCTTAGCAAACATCTCAACATTTTCCTTTTACAGATGGGAAACATAGAGATAATAAAGTAAAGTGACTTTCCAATGATGTGGAGCTGGTGGAAACAAGATCTGCTCCTATCTAGCCTGCTGTTTAACCCACAACCCAATTTGTCCCTGTCCTTTTTTCTACCACCATATTTTCTTATCTGCTTAGTCCCTCCAGTTGATAACTAACGTGAAGTCTTTTATTCCCCAGATTTCTGTGAATGTATTCTTACTTTTTCTTACTCCACCTTTTCTCCATTCTTACACAAGTATCTTCTATTTTCTGCTTCTTCTGGTTTCATGTGCTATTCCATTTCACTTCCTTTAACTTGCTTTTATTTCTAGCCCCCTTCATTTTCTCTCTTGTCTTTCCTCTCTCCCAACCTACTGTCTTTCTGATGGCAGTAACACACTGCATTTATACACAAAGCCATTTCCTTGATGTGCTCGGAGCACTGTATGTGTATTACTTATTAATCCCCCTATCATTTCTGTAAGGCCCATTCATTACTGCTTGTTGACAAACGGGAACAAGAGACCCAGGAAGATTAATTGAGCTACTCAAGGATAAACAGTGAATCAGTGCCAGAACCATAAACAAAACCTAGTCTCACTGACTTCCCTCATATCAACCTCTCCTGTCCTGTTTCTCCTTTTCTTTCCAAATCTTGCCTCATTAAGTAGTATTAACTCATCCCTGAAGTGCTTTGAGGCAATCTGCCACAACTGAATGGAGGACCAGGATGGTGCTTTTGTTTTGTCTCTGATCCTGGTTGTGTGAATTTTGCCTTGTCTATCAAAGTTGTTGAGCCTCATTTTCCCCACGTATGTCATGGAAATAAGTGGCTCGTCCTAGGACAGTGTTTTTCAATATATGATACTCAGATGGTTTTATTATGAACAGGAGATGATTTCAGGTGGTACAGGGAGAGAGTATTAAGTAAATCATGACAGTATCCTCACCATTCATTTCTTTTCAATTATCCTGATAATACCAAAGAAAAAGATTTATGTTATGTTGCTATAGCACTTGCTAATTACATATTTAACAAAGGGAGATTCAGCACCTCTGGTAGTCACAATGTCTTGCAATAGTTTAAATTAAATTATTTATTTGTACAATTACCTTCTATTAATAGTGAATAAAACAGATTTTTTTGTCAGTCAAGTTAGTGAAACAAAGCTCCATTTTAATATAGATTTCTATAAGTTTCCAAAATGATCAATGGAAACAGAAATAAGTATCAAATAATGATATGGGTGTTATAAAGATAAGAAAAAAAAATCCTGTGGGTGAAATTGATACGTCCAAATTTTGGGAAGACGAGACTAGAGGACACATTCCCCTTTCTACAACATTGATCTGAGCCAGGAGTGCTTGATGCCATTATTGTCCTCAGTTCTTTCATCCTTTCCTTTGCCATGTGACATTGCAGTGCCTCCAACTGGGATATATATTCTCCTCCTATTGATTTTAGGCTTGTCTGAGAGACTTACTTTCACGAATGAAATGTTCACCAGCACGGTCTGCGTTAATCTTCTTGGTCTTCAGCCTTTCTACCATGAGAAGAAGATAAGCCACATTGCTGCTGGCCCCAGAAAGATGAGGCCTTATGGTGCAGTTCTGACCCTGCACCAAATTAGAGCCTGGACCTTAACCTCACAGGCCCAGCCCAGGAAAGACTCGCTGAGAGCAGCTCAGTCACTGTCACATGGATGGGCCCAAGACACTTTCTTGGCCAAAAAGAGCTCAAGGGAAAAACAGACAACGCAAAATTAAAAGAAACAAGAAAAACATGTTGCTCCTTTTTTATCTCTGCCCTCCTTCTCCGGCAGGCAAGCAGCTCCTGATGTCGCTTGTCAATCTAAATGCCTGTAATCCCAGCTAGCACATTTGTTTGTTTAATATGCTTCTGCAAGACACTATTTTCTCACCACTGCCCTGGTGTTTTCCTGTCAAGCATTAATGAAGGCCCAGGGTAGGCCACCTGGGGAGATAAATGTCTAGCAGAAGCAAGTGGAACCCAGTTGGCCCCCATCCAATTTGGGAACAAGACACTAAACCCTGGAAGCCTGGCAGCTTCCAAAAGCCTTCATATGTCCCTTCCAATCTGCCTGCCTACAGAGTCTCACTCCATTACAAACAGCATATTAGATTCAAGGAGACAGCTCTGTATCCCAGCTCTGTGCCTGGTAGGTTTTGTGATCGCAGGTAAGTCACTTAAACATTTTAGGGCTTAGTATCTTTATTTGAAAAGGTGGATAATTCTGTCAAAGTGTTTGTTGATTAAACAAGCTAATAGTTATAAAGCAATTTGCAATATGCATGGGGTCACGCGTGTCTGTGTGAAAAGACCACCAAACAGGCTTTGTGTGATCAGTAAAGTTTTTTAATCACCTGGGTGCAGGCAGGCTGAGTCTGAAAAGAGAGTCAGGGAAGGGAGATAGGGGTGGGGCCGTTTTATAGGATTTGGGTAGGTAGTGGAAAATTACAGTCAAAGGGGTTGTTCTCTGGCAGGCAGGGGAGGGGGTCACAAGGTGCTCAGTGGGGGAGCTTCTGAGCCAGGAGAAAGAATTTCACAAGGTAATGTCATCAGTTAAGGCAGGAACCGGCCATTTTCACTTCTTTTGTCATTCTTCAGTTGCTTCAGGCCATCTGGATGTATATGTGCAGGCTTGGGCTCAGAGGCCTGACACTTGGCTCATAGTTAGAACCCAAAACTTGATAGTCATAATGATTATTTATTTAACCTCATCGCCTACAGTCCTGAAAATGTGCCCTAAATTCAATCACACTGAGCAGCTTTCTTAACACACTGGGACAAACCGTAAGTTTAACATATTTATAATTCTAATTTAGATTACTGTTTTTTAAATCTATTTGTCTCATTAAGTTTTCTTTTGATAGAAATTGTTTTTATTTGGTTCCCGAGCTTTCTACATATGCAATCATATCAACTGCAAAGGGATATATGTTTGTTTTCCCTTTCACAATATTTATTTCAAGTTTTGTTTTTTATCTCATTGTATTGGTTAGATATTTCAAGATAATGTTGAATAATAGTGTTGATGATACACATTTCTCTGATTTTTTCAGTAATCAAAGGCTTCAACATATTACTATTTACTCTTGCTTGCTTTTACTTCTTGTAAATAATTATTGCACTTAGATACATATCTTGCATTCTTACCACTTACATAATTCATAAGGATTTTCAATTTGAGGTGAGTTATTCATATTTAAATATGTTTTCCTTTTGTTGTGTTGAACAATTATTTTACTTTACTGTTAGATATGATTTGATAATATCCTATTATTAATTTTTTGTATCCAAGGTCATAAATAAAATTTTTCTGCTGGCGTACTCTTATTTCTATCATTCAACAAATGTTCATTCAATATATATGAGTTGGTAGATGCATTCCAAAAAATTGGGAATTCAAAGGAATACAGAACATACATTATCTCTGCTATTATGGAGCTTACAATGTAAAAGATACAATTAAAATTGTGATAAATGCTAAAACTAAGATGAGCCCTTAAGAATGTTAAGGATGAAAGTAGTTAACCAAGTTTAAGCAACAAATCCACGGTGCCATAAATTTTATTGGACCTTAGATTTAAAGGATACTTAGGAGAGAATGTGATAAAAGAGAAGTAGAGGGAAAATAGTTGGGGGATGTAGCCACATCCTAGGTGGTATGTTTAAGAAAATACAAGTAATCAGCTAACCAAAGCTGGCCTCTGTGAAAGGGATGTGAGGAATAACAGTGCTGAGAAATTATACTGCAAAACATGCTGGAGGCTCAGGCACAGAGGTGATATTACCACAAAATGTGACCAATGTGGATTTTAAACTGATTCAGGAGGCACTAAAATTTTTGAGTGAGAGAGTTGAGTTGGCATCAAATATAAGGCCTGTAGCCCAAAAGAAGAT